>NC_000001.11:65614441-65917471 GCF_000001405.40 Homo sapiens
ACTTTGGAACTTGAGTGGAGTTGTTGGAAATGTGTGGAATCTTAAGACTAAAGGCAAAAGAAACTGTACATAAGCACTGTACTCTAGTTGATACAGTTCTCACAGGGCTATGGGCTAACAATTATGGTACTGCTCTACATGTACTCTGGAAGGGGACAAGCAAGTAAATGGATGGTGGATGGTGGGACCCAGATTTCTCACTGTTGGATTGGGAGGTTACACACAAGCACAGGATGATCCATGTGGCAATGAATTAGAGTTGGGGATATAGGTATGAACTTATATCTAGCTTAATATAGATATAGCTAGATTCTGGTTTAGGATACATGTACATTTTCTTGATTTGTAAGGTAAGAGGGCCTAAAAGTAATGACATCCAGTAGTAAGACATGTGCCCAGACTTGTTTCTAATTACCATCGTTCAATAATAGAAACAAGGGCTATTGGAAGAAATGGCTAATTTTAGGGTTGGGGCAGAAAATATACGAGATTAGCCTGGAGGATCTTGTAGTACCAGAAAGTAAGGAAGCTTAACATTCTCTTACTTGATGGTTACCAAAAAAGTATTCATTAAAACTGACATGTTTTTTTTTCAAATAAAATGCAACATTTGCATGACTTTGAAACATTTCTTTCTTGCGGTGGCTGCTAAAATCTTACTTTCAACCTATCCAGATGATTCCAAGTTTTGCAGGGATACATGTATATGTGTTTATTTTTCTCTGCCATTTCTAACTTAGAGGCATCTCACCGGCAAGAAATTGAGATGTACTGTTCTAGTCTATGATATACAGTCCAGCCTTCTCTGTCTTTATAAGGGATTGCCAGCATTTAATCTTACCTGCCATAGGTGAAGTTGATTGGGGAAATGGGGTACACTGTTAACCTCTGTGGAATATAAGAATAGAATTGAACTAGACACTTATTTTACATTCGGATCTTTAATGACCTGATATTATTATTTTTAATTATATGACAGAAATTCTGGGGTGCCATAGACACTGTTTTGATGGCCTCTGTTACTCATTAACCTTTGCAGACATTCTTACATTCTAGATAATCTTCCAAGAGTATCAGAGGAAAGGAAAATGAATGACAAATCTTACTATGATCAATATATGATGATTAACACCTTCACAGCTCTTGTTGTTGCTTTTCATTTTCTGAGGGTTATTCCTTGTTTGCTTTTTAGATGAGGAAACTCTCTACTCCTTATGTCTTTCATTTCTCTAAAATTAGAGTGAAACTTCTTGGTAGAAAAGTGTCTTGATCATATCCCTACTTTATTATCTTCAAGTGATTTATTCTCTGGGCCTTAAGAAAAAAACCTCAAAAAGGGGAAAATAAGTTTGCTATGCTCCATAACGATCCAGACACCTTCATGGAGACTGTGGCAGAGGCAAACTCTATCCCACCCATCTCCCCAGCCTCTCAGCCTTGTAATAGTACCTGCCCTGATCTGGCCCCTGCCTCCTAATAAGAAATGTAGAATGAGAGTTATGTGAGCTCAGTTAGTATAAAAAGCACTGCAGCCCTTAAACTAATCAATTTCTATATTTACTACAGCCCCTGATGAAAAATGACTCATTGTGCAGTGTTCAGAGATATGTGATAAACCATCATACTTCCTGCAATGGAACATGGTCAGAAGATGTGGGAAATCACACGAAATTCACTTTCCTGTGGACAGAGCAAGCACATACTGTTACGGTTCTGGCCATCAATTCAATTGGTGCTTCTGTTGCAAATTTTAATTTAACCTTTTCATGGCCTATGAGCAAAGGTAAGAAGAGGTACAGAGTGGTAATCCATTGCCTCTTTTAATATTTAACTTTTGCAAACTCTCCTATTTTAAATTATCTTTCAAGCAGCCTGCAATTCTCTGCATCTGAAAGTCTCTCTTTCACCTTTCATTTCCTTTGTCTGGAAAAATAACAAAGTACATTGTACAATGATCACATAATACAGTCCTTGAGCTTTCATTTGGGAGAACATTGTTGTAATGGTGTTATAATATATGAGAATGTTTTAGTGAATCTAATACTTAAATCTTTTGGACCAATGGAGATCTTTAGGTCAATAATTCTCTCTCCCTATGTACATATACATGTATATATTTATATTCATACATACACACATATAAATATGTAAAAATAAGTATATATCATATTAAATATATATTTAACACTATGTAAAATAGTAATAGCATGACATGTTATATGGATGCAGGTTAATTGCTGAGACTTAAAATTACTATGGACTTCATTGAATGTGAGTAGCAAACCTTCTTGCATTAATTTTGATATATCTGATTAATCGGAGAATTGAGACCCACTTTCAATAGGAATTTCTAGTCTAGATTACATATTCAAAGTGTAAATTTTTAATGGAAAATACAAATTTTCTGTGTCTCTACCAATCTATAAAGGCCTTTCCAACTGTTACCTCCTTTATGAAATCTTTGCTTATTGCTTTAATTGAATATGCCCTATCTCTTCTTTAAATCTCAGAGTGCTTCCTGTCTTTCTTATTTTATGTCCTGTTTACATTATGATTACCTTTGTATTTATAGTGTTAAGCATCGAGTTCCATAGCACCCAGCTCAGTGTTTTATGCTTAACATTTCCTAAGTATATATATTCTAGAAATATCTGTAGAATGCGTCAGTGGGGTAGGTAGTGGGAATTGTAATGTGAGAAAAACTATAATGGTTGGAGTGTCCAGAGCCTAATAGGTAAGACAGGTATTAATGAAATAATCATACAAGTGAATGTCTATTTGCAAACTGAGAGATAAGGGCCTGCAGGAAAGGAATATAATTTTATGAAAGGAATGAAAAAAAGGAACCTGACCTGGCATTGAGATTCAGAGAAGCCACCTTGAGGAAGTGGTACTGAACTGAAATCTGAAATGTGAGTAGGAATTAAACTTCCCCAAAAGATGTAGGGGAGGGCAGGAAAAGCATTGGCTCCTAACAAGAGCAGCCAGATCAAAAGTCTATGGCACAGGATAGAAAATGAAGAAAGACCAGGGTGGCTTTGGTGTGGGAAATCATGGAAGGCAGAGAGGTGCGTTGAGACTTGGCCCTCAGGGCCTTGCAGGCATGATAGGAATTTTACCCTCAAATGTAGAAATCCGCTGGAGGCTTTTAAGTGGGATGCTGTGCAGATGGTGTTAAAATGAACAGATTTGTGCTTTGAGAGTATCACTCCATCAGTGGGAGAGGATGGTTAATAGGCTTGTGCAGTATTCCATATGAGAATGCCTTTTTGAATATATCAAAAAATTGCTTTTTAAGGTTTTAGGGAGTATCATGTTTCTCTTCAATGTCATCTATTCCCATATCTCTCTGTTTAAATGACTCTCATGATGCAAAAGTAATTGTCATGTATCATATTTATTTGTGTAAATTGTCTGTCTTCTCTTCCTTATTCCCTTTAGTAGGTTATAAGTTCCTCAAGAGTATTAGTAGATTTTTATTAATTTTTAATTTAAAAATTAATTTCCTTCTTTTCCCCTCAGTAAATATCGTGCAGTCACTCAGTGCTTATCCTTTAAACAGCAGTTGTGTGATTGTTTCCTGGATACTATCACCCAGTGATTACAAGCTAATGTATTTTATTATTGAGTGGAAAAATCTTAATGAAGATGGTGAAATAAAATGGCTTAGAATCTCTTCATCTGTTAAGAAGTATTATATCCATGGTAAGTTTACTATACTTTAGTAAGTTGCTCTCATGGATTAATATGACACTACAGATTATTAATTCTATTAATATAGCCAGTTAATGAAAACTTCAAAAATATAGAGGATACTACCATCCTAATACATATAATCCTATAACCTTTATCAAAACATTTAATTCTCTTCCTCTTCTCTTCTCTTCTCTTTTCTTTTCTTTTCGGCAGGGTCTCTCTGTGTTGCCCAGGCTAAAGTGCAGTGGAACAAACATGGCTCACTGCAGCCTCAACCTTCTGGGCTCAAGCTATCTTTCCACCTCAGCTTCCTGAGTAGCTGAGACTATAGACACACACCATCACACCCAGCTAATTAAAATTTTTTTTTTTTGGTAGAGACAAGGTCTCACTATGTTGCTCAGGCTGGTCTTGAACTCCTAAGCTCAAGTGATCCTCCTGCCTTGGCCTCCCAAAGTGTTGGGATTACAGGCATGGGCCACCACACCCAGCCTAATTCTGTTTCCTTTGACATTTTCTCATTTTAACATTTTATACAGGGGTTATCATATCATATCATATCATATATCCTATCCTATCATATCATATCAATTTTCTCCTCATTTCTTTCTACCATTATTTTTAATGATATAGCATTTTATTCCAAAGTCCACTTAAACTGTTTGAGATTCTTTATGTTGCTTCCAGCTTTATCTTTTCTTAAATCATTTTTTAACAGCTTCTGATATCTTCTGCCAAATTGTTTCCTCAAACTGTGTACCAACTTATAATGCCACTAACAATGAGTGGGAATGCTAGCCTGAAGGTCTGAGGAGCTAGGACTGGGTGACCTAGACCAGGGTATTCTCCCAAAGTTAGACCAGTTATTCCAGGAGGTGAGTCAAGCACAAAGTATAAGTGCACAAGACAGCATTTCTAAGTCTGAGTAAGGATTGAGGAAAGTTAACTAGGGAAGCTAAGGATTGCTATGATCTTATTATACAATATCATTCTAAGGACTCATACCATTATTTTATTCCAGGGACCTAGAATTTAGCATCAGGGTAAATTTATTTACAAATTGTTGAACTGAATTTAGTTCATCACCACTGATGCGCAGGTAGTTTCTCTCTGTGCTTTTCTTTAAACCATGAGGATATAAAATTTAGGCTTCACAGAGATCTCTCTTCTTCTGGATATATTCTTCTAGAAGAATATTCATATATTATTAGCATTTGTGAAAATCATGATGGATCCATCTGGAGCTTTGCTATAGGGTTGGTCATTTTCCATGGATCAAAATCCCAGATCTTGCAAGGGGTCTCGTGGTCTCCACCACCATTTTGTTTGCATAGGATTTCACAAGACTTTAGTCTCCCAGCTACCTTGAATGGAATGGGGAAACTAAGTAAGCTGAATTCCTATTAAAAAAAGGAGTATTGCCCACTTTGGGGGTAAGGGAGAGGTAGTAGAACATATTGCTCTGGAAAAGGAAATGAAGGAAAGAAAAAGCTCATACACCCTGCACTTGAACAAATTGGCTATCACTGGAACATGCCTTTGAAAAATTGCAATCTTCTGTCTCTGGCTAAGATTTTTAGAAAAATATTTGGAAAACTATTGTCATGACTAGATAATTAGAAGTGCTTAAGTTTGTTTTGAAACTCCCTTGATAATTTAATCCACAAATAATAAGTAATTTCTATGTTTGGAAATATATGATAGTCACTTTAATTCTTTTTTAAAATGTATGTTCCACTCATTACTATTAATTTTGTATAAATGAGCCTTTTACGTATTTTTCTCCTCAGATCATTTTATCCCCATTGAGAAGTACCAGTTCAGTCTTTACCCAATATTTATGGAAGGAGTGGGAAAACCAAAGATAATTAATAGTTTCACTCAAGGTAAAAATTATAATTTTAGTTTCCTTTTACACCAATGTGTGTGCCTAATTTGTTTGCAGTAATATTGCCATCTGATTATTCTTTTTCTGATAGAATCATGGAAGAGTCCAAAGTCTTCTGTAGATTTTTCATGGTGAGGTTCCAAAGGAAATATTTTTTTCCTCTAAAAATAAAACTGGAGCTATAGAAATAGAGTCACTGGGCCTCTTATATTTCTGATTCATCTTACTGTACTTGGAATACCAACATTTTGATTTTGTTATTACTTTTTAAATTGTCTTCAAATCTAAGCAACCTAGCAATGATATTTCAAGAGATAAACATTTCATTTGTTGTTAGAATAAAAATCATTAAAAAAATTCATACATGTATTATCCAACAGATATTAATTGAGCATTGTTCTAAGCACTGTGGATTGAATAGTGAACATAAGTTTCTGCCCTTATGGATCTTAAATACCAGTGCTCTAATTGAGAGTGATGGGCAAAAAATAATTATATAATGTCAGATAGAAATAAGTGCCATGAAGGAAAACAAAAGCAAGATAAAGGGATGGCATTAAATGTGGCACTTTAGTTGATAGCCAGAAATGGTCTTTCTATGGAGGTGGATGATATTCGAGTAAAACCTTGCAAGTACAGTAAGACCCTACTTGATATAGTCAATAGATTCTTGGAAACTGCAACTTTATGCAACATGAACTACAGGAGGTCCTTGAATAACATCATTTTGTTCAAGGTAGTTTCATTATAATGTTGATGAGAAAAAAAAGGTTTTGTTATACATTGCCATTTCACTTAACATTGCAGTTTCCAAGAGCCTATCAATGATGTTCAGTGAAGACATAACTGTACAAATAGCAAAAGCATTCCAGGCAAAGGGACAGTGTGTGAAGAGCCCCTAAAGAGTGGGGATGCTTGGTGGTTCAAGAAACAGCAAGGAAATCAGTGTGTGTGGAGTGAACAAGATAGAGATTGGCAGGTGTGGAAGGTTGGGTCCTCCAGGAGTAGATACTGAGACAGTCATCATAACAAGTTTGACACTTTGGCCCATTATAATGTAAAAATGATCAGGTAGAGAGGAATGGCAAATAAATAAATTTGAAAAAATATTTTGCTAATTTACAGTAGATATGATGCTGAACAAAATAATAAGTATTTTATTAATGTGATCACAACATATTTTTATCTTCATTTTTTATTTTTATATTTTTGAAGGTAATAAGAGATTTGTGATGAATTCAGAAAATGTCTACTATAATTTTTGATACAGAAAGAAATTAATATTTCCTCAAGTTTCTGAGTTGTGTAAATTGTATTTCTTTTTCAGATGATATTGAAAAACACCAGAGTGATGCAGGTTTATATGTAATTGTGCCAGTAATTATTTCCTCTTCCATCTTATTGCTTGGAACATTATTAATATCACACCAAAGGTATTGTACTTGAGGTTAAGAATCTTTACGGCAAAAGTCCTTACGCGTATTCAAACCCTGATTTAAAACCTTCTAAATTAGGAATATTAAAGTCTTCTAAGTGCTTTTATATGTAGTCTGTATACAATTAAGATAGCATAAAAAGGAAAGGCCTGTTGTGAGGAAATGGCATTCCATTTTGCTAGGACTGTAAGAGTTAAAGAATGAGGAAAGAAACACGAAACACAGCTTAACAGTTAAAGACAGGTTTTCTTTAGATAAAACCTGAGGGGCTTCTGGCCAATTTTGTTCAGGAGCCCCTTTCTCTTACAGACTAAGAGTATGTATTGGTTTTAGGGTGAGGGGGCTTATCACAAGCTTGGAATGTTTATGTGTGAGGGAGAAGTTTATGGCGGGGTTGGAATGTCTCTGGGAGGAGGGGAGGTTATCTTGGGGCTGACATCTTTCCAGCTGGATGGGGAGGGTTATCTTGGGGCTGGCATGTGCCTGGTCAGGGAGGATGGAATGTTTCTGGTTGGAGATGTTATTTGTGGTTTATGGTAATGCTGACCTTAGCCATTAGGCTGATGCCCTTTGGATTTAGGTGGTTTTTGATTAAGGGGAATTTTAATATGAGGTGCTTGTCCATGATGGTGATGCTCCTGCTCTGTCAAGGACAACATAACTTCAAGGAAGAATTTAGTTTTTTAAAAAAAATGTACATACATTCAGGAAACAACAAGCTTATAACAGGAAATCCTAAGCAGTATGTTCTTGGAGGTGGCAAAAATGGCTTTCAGAGTTCTGCAGTTTGGGTTAAGGACGTTTTGTGGTGAAGTGGGTGGTAAAAGTAGCCTTTTAGTGGTGACCTGGAGCAGTCAGTTCATTTATGATCAGCAGGCACTCTGCTTTTTAGAGATCAGCACTGTGTGGCTCCAGTCTGCTTGGCTTGTCAGGCAAATGCCTGAGTTCCGTGGATGGTGGCATGGGTGCCATGATACTCTCTGTGCTGAGAAGTCCAGTGTGGTTATTTTACACATGCCAAATCTCTGTAGAAACCATCGTCTTCAGGCAAAAAAGAGAGAGAGGAGATTTTAGAATCTGAATTTATCTTGTAGTTAAGTGAGTTGATGGGGCCACATCAAATGGAATTTTTTCTGGTACCCACTTTGTGACCATTTTTAATATTTCAATTTCTTTGAGAGAAATCTATCCAGTGTTTAGCATGGTGCTTGGCACACAGCTTTCAATAAGTATTGGCTATTTCTATTATTACAGTGATTTTCAGCTTGGGTCTAGATAAAAGTTTGGTAGAAATCTTCATGGGCTAGCATGTGAAAATGCATCTGACCCTACGGAGGCATAGTTGATCTGGTGGACTAATTTCTAGCTTGTCTGTTCACTAACTGTTCACATTTTCAATATGGATGTTTTTCTCTAATTTTGATGCCCTGTTTATCCTTTGTAGAATGAAAAAGCTATTTTGGGAAGATGTTCCGAACCCCAAGAATTGTTCCTGGGCACAAGGACTTAATTTTCAGAAGGTTGCTTTTTCAATTTTTTTTAACCCAGAATATATACGATTGCAATCTAGACGCCATATGACTTATAGAGCATTAAGCATTTTTAAGATTTAAAAGGTCATATTTTATTCAATTCATCTTAATATATCTGTTATTATATACTTTCAAGAATAGCAGGATGCAGGGATTTGAAATCAGGAAGAAACAAATTTCAGCGCATAGTTTATCGTATGAGAGTTCACAATATACATATGTTGCTTCTGTGTCACAGTACATAATAAAATAAATATTAGAAAGTTAAGGGTCAATCTGATGGAGAACAGATATTTGGATACACTTTTTTTGGTATAAACTGTATTTAGGCAAAAGGCTGGAATCAATATTTTTAATGTCTATAATTATCTCCATAATTATTTAAATAAATTAGAAAATTATATAATCCTCAAACATTACAATCTGAAAAATGCAGTGATCATAATAAAACTTATATTTATGCAGAAGTTCCATTCAAGTACAAGTACTTTATGAGAGTTAGTCAACTATAATAAAATAATTTGTATTTACTTCTATAGTAGGATTTTTCAGAAAGCTCTAAATTTAGTGACTGTTTTATTAATTCTCATAATGTCCCTTGAAGCAAAGCTAGCTTTCCACTCATAAAACTGGAAAAATAGAATTCAGTCAAGTCAAAATATACAGATTTTTAAACAATACTTATTTGGAGGTTATTATCCAGGTTTGGTGATTGCATCTTTATCATTAGTCACTTGTTAAAAGTTTTCAATGGTTTCCTTTTGAATACAAGATATAAACTAAAGCCCCCTGAAGCTATTAATAGTACTCAAGGACCTCTTTCTACAATCTGTTATCAACCTACCTATACGACTTTTTCTATCCCTGGGCCTTGATGATACCTTTACTGTTCCCATCCACCTTCACAGAGCCTTCCTTGTACATGAAGATCTTGCTCTAGGCCCTTCTTTCCTCAAGCCTTCCTTTAACCAGTGTAATTCAAAAGAATTTCTACCCCCTTTAAGTTCCTAGATCATTGTACTGTTTTTTTAATTGTGGATAGTGCTCTGAATTCAAAGACTGTATTTTATCCATCACAAATATTTGTAGTACTCCTCCTGCTGTTCTTTATGTGCAAAGCACTGAGATACATATTCTTACATTTATTAAGATTTTTACTTACATTCTCAATGTTTCAGTTTCCTCTTCTGTGAAATAGGCTGCTTACCTTATTAGGTTGTTTGCGGGACTAAAGAAGATGGTACTTGTGACATAGTAAGGTCTCAACAAATATTAATTATTATTGTACATATTTATGTATTTTATATTACTATTATTATTCTTTCAGTTACCCTATGGGACAAGTGTTATTCTCTCTATTTTGCAAAAGAGAAAGCTGAAGCTCATAGTGGTTCGGTAACTTGTTTTAGAGGCAAGATTAGCTTACCAGTTTGTCTGGCTTTGGAGCCTGTTCTAATAGCAGCTGTTCTCTATAGCAGTGGCTTCTTTTTCTTTCTTTCTTCTTCGCCATGACCCACAGTGAAAAAAACTTAGGTTGGTGCAAAAGTAATTGCAGTTTTGGCATTTTTAATGTATAAATACGTTTTACCTTCCAACCTAGTACACCATAGATACAGATATGCAAGACCGAAATGAAAGATACGCAAAGCAGCTTTACTTCTTGCTTGAAATAGAATGTTTTAAAATTCTATTTTATTTGTTAAAAATGCTGGTTGCAAGACACTAAATTGATTTCACAACATTCGAATGGCCTATGATTTGCAGTTAGAAAAACACTGTTCTACAGCTTATCAATGAATAAGTAAACAACTAATATTGTAGACATAATGAACAAAGAAAAAGATTGAATTGTAATTTTTCAGCAGGAGAAAGAATGCCCTGTCTTCAGAAGCAGCAGTAGTGTTGTTTTATATACGAACAATTCTTTTTATAGAAACTTCGCTTTGCCTGAGTCTAATCAGCCACACTCCTATATACTCCTCACCTGTGCTGTTGCTCACTAAGCCAGAGTCTTCTTTCATTAAAACAGTGTTGCCGAGTTTTTCAAGTAAATATTTTTTCTCTCATTTATCTTTTACTAAGAATTTATACAGTGACATTTTGTGTAGTTGTGATGATATTTCAGAGAGAGATATATATATGTCGTTCATTCATTTGTTCAACAAGCACATGGTGAGTATTTATATGTAAGGCTTGGCTGTTGCTAGGGTCTGGGAGAACAGATTTTTCTTACCATATGAGAAATAAGACAGTGAGGTCAGAGAAGAGTGGCTGGGTTGAAAGTAGAATAGGAAGAGCTTGTCTCCTTTTGCCTCTCTAAAATAGTTCTTTTCTATTCATTTCATCCATATATTCAATATGATTGAATACTTACCCTATACCAGTCACTATAGTATGCCCTGGCATTATAAGGATAAGAAAAACACTATGTGCTCCTGAGTATACAGTTTAATGGGGATGATAATCATTAATACATTTATCATGGAAATAGCATTACTTTTTTTTTGTACAAATTTATGGGGCACATGAGAAATTTTGTTACATGTATATAACATATAATGATCCAATCACAACCTTATAGTTGTAAACTACATGTTGTGAAAGAAGGGGTTCCATTGTGCTGAGCGCTTATAATGTGGGAACCTGGCTTAGTGTATCCGTGGGGGTGAGTGGATAAAGTTAAGCAAATTACATTTGGGCCAAGATCTGGTAGATGAACAATCATTAACTAGGTTTTGAGGCAGAGATGTGGTGTCCAGCTAAGTACCTGCAAACACTAAGTCATGTGGAAGGCAGTACCTAGCATATTCACAAACTGGAAATAGGAAGACTATAAGACTTTTTCTTAAATATGAGGGTTTTATGTCAAAAAACCTATATACTTATCTAAGTAAAATTGCCAAATTTTCAGTATATAGGTATATATTAATTCAGGGAATGATCATCTTACTTTTTAATGTCACTTAAAAAGAGGCTGAAACACTCTCTCTTCAGCATTTAAGCTCTGAAATCTTACCTATGGACCACCATGAAGTGGTTTCTCAGTGTTCAGGAGGGCCATGAAATGATCAGGCCCACATCAGCAAAATGCAGTTTAAACCTGCAGCAAATTATTTTTCCCTTTTCCAGAAAATGCCTGGCACAAAGGAACTACTGGGTGGAGGTTGGTTGACTTAGGAAATGCTTGTAGACTACGTCCTACCTCGCTGCCGCACCTGCTCTCCCTGAGGTGTGCACAATGCTGCCACAGGTCATCTGACAGACCTTATATACAAGTAGATTGAAATATTGCCACATTTTTTCAAGTTCTGGTAAATTAAAGAAATGTGAAGAATTTTTATAATACAGTGGGTGTGAATGTTCTTATTTGTAGGACTGATTTTTTAAAAATCTCTGGAAATATTTGACTTTCTAATCTTATAAATTATTTTTTAAGCACAGCTAACCCACAAGATGCTTAGTTTATTACTAGGGCTGACCAGGCGCATAAATAACACTATTAGGAATAAATTAGGTTTTGGAATATAATAGAACATTTAAAGAGTAAAGGAGAATATAACTTCAAAGATTTTATTAATGATAAAAATCTTCTAAAATTCATTAACTTTTTTCTCTTTAGCCTGTTGTTTTAATCTCCTAAACAATTAAAATGTACCCTTTTCTTTTTGAGACAGGGTCTCGCTCTGTCACCCAGGCTGGAGCGCAGCGGTGAGATCTCAGCTCACTGCAGCCTCGACGTCCTTGGGCTCAACTGATCCTCCCACCTCATCCCCTTTAGTAGCTGGGACCATAGGCGCGTGCCACCACGCCCGGCTAATTTTTGTAGATATGGGGTTTTGTCATGTTGCCCAGGCTGGTCTCGAACTCCCAGGCTCAAGTGATCCACCCACCTCAGCCTCCCAAAATGCTGGACTTAACAGATGTGAGCCACCACACCCTGCCTAAAATATGCTTTTTAAAGGAAAAATAATATAGTGTAACTCACTTTATATTACTAAACAGGAAAAGGCAAATTTACCATCCACCCTATGTTTCATATTCATGTTATTTAAATTATTTCATAGGGCTAATAGCCTTATATTTTCTGATGATAAAACTGAGGCCCAGAGTGGTTCAGTAGCTTGTCTTGCTCACCCAGCCTGTCCATGTAACATCTGTGGTTCAAATCCAGATCTATCTGACTCAAATTGATACCCGTGCCATCAGTTCCATATTAACAATGTATTTCTTAATATGCTTAATGCCACTAAATTATACACTTAAAAATAGTTCAAATGGTAAATATTGTTACGTATATTTTAACATCATAAAAATGGGCAAATGATGTGAATAGGCATTTCTCCAAAGAAGATACACAAATAGCCAAGAAGCACAAATGAAAATATCCTCAGTGTCATTAGATAATAGGGAAACACAAATAAAAACCACAAGATGCCCAGTAGGATGGCTATAATAAGAGACAGATAGTAAGTGTTGGTGAGAATAGAGAGAAATTAGAATTATCATATACTGACAGTGGGAATGGAATAGCAACTCTTTCGGTAAATAGTCTGACAATTCTTCAAAAGGTTAAACATAGAATTATTATATGATCCAGTAATTCCATTCCTAGGTATGTACTCAATAGAAATGAAATAGCAAATCCACATGGGAAGTTTTATAAGAATACTCATAGCAGTATTATTCATAATAGCCAAAATGTGAAAGTAACCCAAATGATGAATAAATAAGCAAACAAACAAAAAACTCACACTATATTGCAAAGAAAGCAGACCAGAGGAGCCTATTGTTTTTAAAAATAATTCAAATACAAATATAGTATTTTTTAAAGGAAGTAATAATTTCTATATCAAGTGTTTCCTTTAATTTGTTCTCCAAATTCAGATATTTTGAATATTGATTATTATGAAAGTACTCTTAACCTGAAATTTCTAGACATCTAACATGATTTTCAAAATCTTCCCTAAAATTAATCTATTCCACTTTTGAAGCTGTCATTTTCCTTCCCCTTGGTTTATATTAAATCTAAATCCTGAACCTATAATTATGTTAATCAAATGTGTTTTTAAAAATCCAATATTTTGAATGTATTTCTAAAAGAAAAATGAAAAGAAAACATTTATTTAAAACCACTATATGCCAGACATTGCTAACAATAGGATAATACCATATGTGATTAAAAATAATTTTGCCAATATAATTTCCTGCCAGATCTTTTTTCTTTTGTATGTTCCACTTCCTTTTCTCTTTTAAAATTAGTTTTTCTGGATAATATAAAGATGAAAATATAGGACAATATGAAAACAGCTCTATATTAACACAATATTTTAAAACTTTCTGCATTTTCTTCATTTTTAAAATAAATAAAAACTACAGGTAAAGTTTGTCCTGCTTGTTCCACTATTTCCGGTCCCTCCTCTTCCTGGAGGAACCCATGATTTCAAGAATGCTGTAGCCTGTGTTTGTCTAGTTTGTGCATTTATACTTTCCTACTTTCACATGTGTGTATCCATGACCAATGAAGAGTAATCCTTTGAAGTACTGAAAATGTTAATGTACCTTTCATATTATTCCAAAAATATCTCTGAACATTGTGTTTTGAGCTCTCTCCAAGTTGATGTAGTTAATTTAGTTCACACATTTGGACTGGTCTGTAGTATTCCATTATACAAACATAGCACAATTCATTTATTCCTCTACTGGTGGATGTTTAAGGTGTTTGAACACTTTTTTATATTTATTACAAAAAGTGCTGCAGGAAGTATGGTTGTATATGTCTCTTTGTTCTCTCATGTATATGATATTTCTCAATATTTAAAATTTTTTGAAAAAATATATGTGAATGACTTAATAATGAAATGTTACAGTTAAATATTTGAGTTTGGAAGACCACTTCATGAAAAGGACAGTCCCCTTTTCCACCCCTCCGTACCCTTAGTCTTGCTCTCCAAATGCCTCTTTAGTTAACTGTCTGACTTTTGGTTTTTCTGGTATGTCACCTTTTTATTTCTAAAAACCATATGCTTATGCCACTATGAAATGTAGACGGTATCTATTGATTTCTGGCTACAACGAGGATTTACTCCCACACATTATTCCCTCCTTGTGTTTCTACCCATATTGTCTTGTCACTTTTTTCAATTCCTTAAGTAATCATTTCTCCAACCTCAGAAAAATCTACTTAAACTTCCATTTCTTGTTCTTTTAAACAGAAGACTATTTCTTGGAGCTCCCCTGCTATTTTTTTTTTTAAATAAAAACATTAGCACTCTTACGCTTCCCTCCATTTCTCCCTCTACTTTCCAATCTCTAAATCTAAGTTTATGTTTTTCCTTAAGTCAGGGTTGATATGATGTTCTGTGTTGTAATTTGTCTGTGGTTTATTTTTAAAAATAGAAAAACTAATAAACTGAATTTGCATTGTTATGATTATGTAAATATTGTGACTTACTGAACCAAGTATTTAATAATATGTGATTACACTTCTCAGTGGTTCCGATGTCAAAGGGGAATTTTTTAAAAAATATATTAGATATATTCCACCTGTTGATCAAAATTGTGCCGAATTTTAGTTAGCTTCATTTTTAGTTTTTATCTTTTTTCTTTTCCTTAAGTTTCTAATTGTCCCTTCCTTCCTCTTCCTCCCTCCATTCTTTCATCCATTCATCCCTCTCTCCCTCCCTCTCTTTCTTTCTTTTCATGCTGTCTTTCTTTCTCCTTCCCCTTCTCTTCCCTCCCCTCCCATTATATAATCTATGCTGTTATGTTACCTATTTTATCCACTACCCCATCTTTACTGGAGGTGTTGTTCTAGTGGACTCTCCAGGAACTCCTCTATCCTCCTACTTCAATCAGGACTAGGCTTTCTCTAAAATTACTATAAGCCATCACTCTAAACTTTCCCTTAACTGGTTTCTGGTTAGTACTGTTTCCTGGATTCCTTTCCTTCATCTTTCTTAACTACACCCTTAAGTAACCTCCTAAGAAGTATGCGATAAGTCTCCATCTCTCCATGCCTGAACTGCCTTTTATTCTGCCCTCCTCGATTGTTAGTTTGGTGGAGTATCAATTCTTAGAAATAGCCTTTCCAAGAGAACATTGAGATAATTCCTGCCTTAACATATAGTATCCAGTGTTGCTTCTGAGCAGTCAGATACTATTGTGATTTTTACTCCTCACTGTTTACTTATAATTTCCTTTTTAAACAGATGCTTGAAGGCAGCATGTTCGTTAAGAGTCATCACCACTCCCTAATCTCAAGTACCCAGGGACACAAACACTGCGGAAGGCCACAGGGTCCTCTGCATAGGAAAACCAGAGACCTTTGTTCACTTGTTTATCTGCTGACCCTCCCTCCACTATTGTCCTATGACCCTGCCAAATCCCCCTCTGTGAGAAACACCCAAGAATGATCAATAAAAAAAAAAAAGAAAGAAAAAAAAATTCTCCTCATTTTTGTTGTTTTGAATTTTCAGTGATGAATCTGGAGTGGTTCTTTTTTTATTTAATGTGGTTATTTTTTGAAGAGACTTTCAATTCCATGTCTCCTGTCAATTCTAAGAAATTATATTATTTCTTTGATAATTTCCTCTCCTCTTGTTTCTTTGTTTCTCTTTCTAGAATCTGTATGTTGGATGATGGACCCTCTGCGTAGATCTTCCACATCTCTTACCTTTTATCTCATATTTTCGGTTTCTTTGTTTTGTGTGTGTGTGTGTGTGTGTTATATTCTGAGACCTTGCCATACCCTCTTCTTCCAGTGCTTCTGTTGGATTTTTATATACTATTATTTTTGTAAATTTCCAAGTATTCTTTCTCAGAGTATTCTGTTCTGGTTTTATGCATATTTTCTTAAATGTTGCTAGAAATACCAATTCGAGGATTTTTGTTCTTTTATTTTAAAAATTCTTTTTTCTTCTATTCCCTGAATTCTGTGTTCCTTCTAGGTCGTGTGTTCCTGTTGTTTATCTTGGCCTCTCTTTTATTATCTCAGACTTTCCTCCTAATATCTGGTAATCCTTTGTTTTCCTTTCATGTTTAGGAATGAAACAGTAGACAGGCTGACTGGGAGCCCAGTGTATATAGGCAGGGATTGTTGCCCTGGGTGAGTAGGCAGGGTTCTGGCCAGATGAGGAAAGATGTGCTCTCAGCTAGCAATATTCCATGGCTGCTGTCTTCCTCCCCAGACAGTTCCTTAGTTGCTTTTGAGAACAAACCCTCAGTCTGGTTGTGAAGGGTAGTTCTTACATGGAGGCTCTTCCATGTTCAGCAGAGGAGTAGAAGAGCCCTATTCCATATACAGAACTTCCATTAGGCCCCAGTTTCCAGCCACAGTTCTCTTGTCTTCATGTGTTTTTACGTGCCATTTCTTCACGCACTGTCTCCGCTGTATACGGCAGGGCTAATTTTCTTTCTCCTGAGCTGCAGCTGGATATATTCTGGTCTTCAGCTTTCTTTGCTCACCTTCTTTGATCTATACTCTTCCAATTGTTTTCTATCTTTTAGCAATGAATGAAAATTACCCACTTCTCATTAGCCCTCTCAGATCATCTTCTTTGTGGTGGGTCTGTATTTGACTCATTTACATACTGCCATTCCAACAGAATCTCTATAGAGACAAGAGAGAAACCTGTTCAGTCAGCCATCTTGAATCAGAATACCATTTCTGTTTATACCTTAAAAATCAGAATCTTAAACATATATTGAATTTTTGTTGTAAGAAAATGTGTTATGATAACTCATTAGCCTTGCTTTTCTTCCAATTCAAATTTTAGAGTGTAAAAGAACTATTACCTTTCTTACTTTGTTTTGCACCTTTTTACCTTAGCATTTCTGCCTAATTTGTTAAATTTCTTCTAAATCCAAATCACCTGGGTTTTTCCCTTAAAGATATTTTAAGCCTCTTTAATTCATTTTCAATTTGTTCCACTCCTTTTTATTCTTTATTTTACAATATTTTTCTCATTCTCTGTTTTTTGTTTGTTTTTATCCAGCCATGCTCCTGTGTCTACATTTATGCCAGCTTTCACAAGAGTTTACTCCATTTAACAACTTCCTTTAGCGGGGCTAAAGCTAGAAACAAATAGATTTTTCCTTGGGATCTAAAAACTATCTTAGATTCCCCAGTCAGCCCTAGGCCTCCAAATAAAGCAGCTCAATAACCCGTGGCCTCCCAGAACACCATCCTCACAGATCTGAATCAGAAGCATCCCTAAAGTTGCTAGATGGCCTTCCAAATGTGTGGAAGAGCTGGTGCATTTTCGAGTTAGAAGTTCTGTTTAGAAGTAGCCATCTCCCCTATGCCCAGAAATGCACATTACTGGGCCTAGAAGTGTGTATTTCACTCCCCTAAAAATGTAACCTCAGTTTTGTTTATTTTCTTGTTCCTTATAGCCCTCAGGTTATGAGGAACCAGGAGAGAGTATAAATTAATCAGCTGAACTTTGTCACAGCGAGTAGTAAAAGGGAAACAAAGAACATGTTCTTCTGCCTATTTGTGTTTGGGACAACCTTTCATCTTCTGTTGTGTTATAGAAAGATTGTTGGACTAGAAAAAAAGAACTAAGTCAGGGTCCTCCCTCTACTCTAATTAGCCATGTAACCTTTAGCAAATAATCTTGGCAGCCTCAATTGCTTTGTCAGAAAAAAGGGAGACACTTGGACCATATAATTTCTGAGATCTTATTTCTAGATTTTAAAAACCCATGGTAATGAATGGTTCTGTGATTCTATTCTTTACCATTTTTAGCACTTCTTTCTCTTTATTTTTTTTAAATTTTTCTTTTCACTGCTCTCCTCTTTTATTTTTTCTTGTTCCAAACTATCCTATATTGCTGTTGGTTCTCCCTCTTTAAATTTTTCCAGCTCGTTGTTCTTCTCTCCTTTTACCTATTCTGTTATTTCCCTATAGTTTTTCCCTTCCTGGGGTAATTAAAGCTGTCCTTAGAGTGTGATATTAAAACATTCATTAAGAAAATGGGAGAAGCCACCTTAGTTCAAAATTTTGCCCTTTCCCAAAAGGATGCATTATTGTAACCTAACACAAAAATTTATAGTCCAGAACCCATGCTTGACAATGTTTTTTGAAATCTTTTATCTTTTTCTTTGTGAGTGATTTTTTATTTTGCTTTCTTATTTTGTTTTATTTTATCTAAACAGAGAACGGACATTCTTTGAAGTCTAATCATGATCACTACAGATGAACCCAATGTGCCAACTTCCCAACAGTCTATAGAGTATTAGAAGATTTTTACATTTTGAAGAAGGGGAGCAAATCTAAAAAAAATTCAGTTGAACTTCTGAGAGTTAACATATGGTGGATTATGTTGATTTAGAACTTAAAATAGATGTGTAAATTTGGGTTCAAAATGTAGATTTGAGTCCAGTTTGGATGTGTGATTAATTTTCAAATCATCTAAAGTTTAAAAGTAGTATTCATGATTTCTGGCTTTTGATTTGTCATATTCCTGGTCATAAAACATTAAGAAAATTATGGCTGTTGCTGTCATTACATATCTATTAAATGTCATCAAATATGTAGTAGACAATGCTGTAATTAGGTGAACTCTAAAACTGCAACATCTGACAAATAGCTTTAAAAATACAATGATTATAAGTATGGAATCAGTGAAAATATTTAGTTTGTATTTTTATGTCCAAACTTTTCCATTTTAGATTCCTTTATAGACACGTCAGCCTAAAAATCAGCCTATTCGGGTGTTCTTTTGAATATCTCCTGGCATTTTTGTATCTAACTTTGTTCAATCTGGGAATTTCAGTTTTCAATATCCTTGAAAATGGCTTAAGTGATAACTTCCGTTTCAGTTAAAAGGAAGCCCGAAGTTGTGTTTGTGCTGCCCACAGGACAGTGGGAGTTACAGTTCATATCAGGATGACCCTACATACCCAGGTCAGATTGACGGGACCAGAAGGGAACATCGACTTCTAATCCAGCTTTCTTGTTTAATTATGACCTAAATCTAATTTACTTCCACTGAACCATCCAAGACCTCTGGCAGGCAGGGAAATGGGCAGTGATGCAAAAAAGGGAGACTCTTTGGAGCTTTTATGAATAGTTCATGGTGAGGACAGAACTTTTCTACTTTCAGACAGACTGCTTGCTAGTTTTATGAATTCAGCACACGAATTATGCTGCGTTGCTCACATTCAAACCAAACCAACGACTATGTTTAATGAACTCAGTATTCAAATTTATTATATATGCGTATATATGTATATATGGATCCCTTATATTTAGATTTAACTCGTAGTTTTATTTGAAAGTAGAAAAGAACTCTACAAAAACGGGAAGAATGTGTCTTTCTTCCCTTCTTGACTTCTAATAGGTGTCATTGAAATGTAAAATCTAAGTATGAAATTATGAAAGGACATTCTTTAATTACTGCCCACTCAACACATATTTAATATGTGCCCAGATTATTCTAAAATCTTAAAAAAAGATGCATATAGTGAAATTTTTTAAATGGATATACTTTTAATAAAGTTTTATAACTCACTGACAAAACATATTTCAATAGTATATGAGTATGAGATTTCTTATCAATTATGAGTGAAATATTCTATCTGAATGCATTGGAAGGCATTTACAGTATTTGCTTTCAACAGTTACTGAGTATGACATTTTAGCATGAAATATATCAAACACATCATTTGAAGGACATATGTAATCTTGACTATGGTTATGGTTTTTTTGTATGTATTCCTTGTTTTCATATTGATAGCATCTAATTCTTTTGACAATCTTAATATGTAGGTTCATTTAAATTTTAAGACAGTTCAGTGCATATATAGTAGAAGCCTTAAGAAAAAAGAAAATGAGCAAGCAAATATTTGAAGAAATGTATAAAACCATAGATTTCTTTCAGAAAAAAAAAACAGGCATAGGAACAGTTTTCTCTTCATATATTATGATTATGAATAATAGGAAAGTTGTATTAATTCAGTATTTGTCATTATGCAGTATTTTAATACCTACATAAGTCTATTCCATTATTATATTTTGCGCTTGGCATATTTATTCCTTTATGCTTTTAATCACTAACATATTTTACTTAAGAGTATAAAACTATGCTAAATAAATTGTATTGTATATGGAATATGCTTGCCATTATGAAGAACAGCTGGGTATACCATTATTTCAAGTAATAAATCTGAATTCTATTAGTTTAAAAATTGTAAAATTCAAGTTAAATGACGTGTATGATATATAAGCTGAACACATTTTCTATAGCCCTTAATTTAGTTGTGTTAATTTTTCAAGGTGATGTATCAACAGCTTTTTTTATTTTGCATTTGTTTTTTCAATGTGTTTACATTGTATGAATTGAGCTTTTTGCCCACAGATTCTTGATTTGTAGTTGTTTGGCAGGATTTTTCTTTGTGATATAATCACTTCTATAAAAAATATGATGTACATTTGTCTTGTGTATTTGTCTTCATTTCACATGTCCATAGTAAATATTTTTACGTGAAGTTATTTATAAGGAATAGTAATTTACCAGTTTGTGATCATCTCTTTCATCATCATTGTTCTCTACATATGATATTATTAGCTCTTATTTTCAGATAGTCTCAAGCAGATTCTCAGTATACAGCAGATAAGTTTTTAATAGTCAACACAATTATTTTACTTTCATACCATATCTTATTTCACAACATAGTTATTTTAACTGTTTTTAGACAAGTTATTTTGGTCATTTCATTTCAATCCACTTTTTTCTATTTTGGGCTAACATTTTTAGTTTATGGGAATGTAATTTGCTACAAAATATTAGGAAGGAAATATCTTCAGAAGATAGCATTTTCCAATGACAGTAACCAATCTTTCCTGAGAGCTAAGCACTTGCAGACACTAATTTATTTCTAGCCACAATACCATGAAGCACATTTTTAGAGATGATGAAATTGAAAGGCAGAGAGGTTAGTGTACTTGTTCATGGTTGTAGAATTGGAAGAACTCAAGTCTAAGTCTGTCTTGTCCCACTTTCAAATGCTATCATCTTAAACGGGCTCTTCCTTATGCTTTTTGATATATGTATTTTAGTCAAAAACTAGTTAATTTGTGGTTGACTTATGTTCTTTATTATTAACTTAACACACTTCCATTTCTGCCAGTATGACATAATGAAGCAAAATTTTTTAACATAATTGAGCCTTAAAATGTGTCTTTTCTTTTAGCCAGAAACGTTTGAGCATCTTTTTATCAAGCATACAGCATCAGTGACATGTGGTCCTCTTCTTTTGGAGCCTGAAACAATTTCAGAAGATATCAGTGTTGATACATCATGGAAAAATAAAGATGAGATGATGCCAACAACTGTGGTCTCTCTACTTTCAACAACAGATCTTGAAAAGGGTTCTGTTTGTATTAGTGACCAGTTCAACAGTGTTAACTTCTCTGAGGCTGAGGGTACTGAGGTAACCTATGAGGACGAAAGCCAGAGACAACCCTTTGTTAAATACGCCACGCTGATCAGCAACTCTAAACCAAGTGAAACTGGTGAAGAACAAGGGCTTATAAATAGTTCAGTCACCAAGTGCTTCTCTAGCAAAAATTCTCCGTTGAAGGATTCTTTCTCTAATAGCTCATGGGAGATAGAGGCCCAGGCATTTTTTATATTATCAGATCAGCATCCCAACATAATTTCACCACACCTCACATTCTCAGAAGGATTGGATGAACTTTTGAAATTGGAGGGAAATTTCCCTGAAGAAAATAATGATAAAAAGTCTATCTATTATTTAGGGGTCACCTCAATCAAAAAGAGAGAGAGTGGTGTGCTTTTGACTGACAAGTCAAGGGTATCGTGCCCATTCCCAGCCCCCTGTTTATTCACGGACATCAGAGTTCTCCAGGACAGTTGCTCACACTTTGTAGAAAATAATATCAACTTAGGAACTTCTAGTAAGAAGACTTTTGCATCTTACATGCCTCAATTCCAAACTTGTTCTACTCAGACTCATAAGATCATGGAAAACAAGATGTGTGACCTAACTGTGTAATTTCACTGAAGAAACCTTCAGATTTGTGTTATAATGGGTAATATAAAGTGTAATAGATTATAGTTGTGGGTGGGAGAGAGAAAAGAAACCAGAGTCAAATTTGAAAATAATTGTTCCAAATGAATGTTGTCTGTTTGTTCTCTCTTAGTAACATAGACAAAAAATTTGAGAAAGCCTTCATAAGCCTACCAATGTAGACACGCTCTTCTATTTTATTCCCAAGCTCTAGTGGGAAGGTCCCTTGTTTCCAGCTAGAAATAAGCCCAACAGACACCATCTTTTGTGAGATGTAATTGTTTTTTCAGAGGGCGTGTTGTTTTACCTCAAGTTTTTGTTTTGTACCAACACACACACACACACACATTCTTAACACATGTCCTTGTGTGTTTTGAGAGTATATTATGTATTTATATTTTGTGCTATCAGACTGTAGGATTTGAAGTAGGACTTTCCTAAATGTTTAAGATAAACAGAATTCAGCCCTGGCCTAAGGGGTTATACTTGTGAAGACTAATGAGCCAATTGTTATGTACCAAATCTAAGATATGTACCATAGAATGAAATAACCTGCAAGAATGGTGATGCCCACAATCAGTATTTTGATGACAACACAAGCACTTTTGAAAACATAATGTCAGTTTTAATTCTTCTCTCTGAAAGATGTTGAAGTGGTCACTTTCTGATAAAGTTAGATTGCCAAATGTCACTGTATATCTCTCCGGAATAATTGTCTTCCCCCATCCCCACCTGGACATATCCTATTTTTTCCCCTCACTGAGCATTCTGTCTACATAAACCAACCACTGTGCAGTACTTTACATACCTTAACCCAGTTAATTATTGAAATAATTGTATGAGACATCTGTTACTATGATACTCCTTAAAGATGAAGACAGTAAATAATTTGCCCACAGTTACAGTCAGTGGGTGATGGAATCAGAGTTCAGATTTAAATCCAGATTTTTTAATGCTAATGATTATGTTTTTAACCTATACCCTACATAGCCATCAATTTAAAAAAACTGACTTGTAATCAAAATTTATTAAGTAGAGGCTGGCACAGTGGTGCATGCCTGTAATCCCAGCACTTTGGGAGGCTGAGGCGGGTGGATCGCTTGAGCTCAGAAGTCTTGAAACTAGCCGGGGCAACATAGTGAGGCCTCGTCTCTACAAAAAACACAAAAATTAGCTGAGTGTGACAGAAAAAATAAAGATTATAAAATGTATTAAGTAGAAGTATAATGCTGGATGAGAAATTAAGTGAGAATTGCACAGATCTCATGTTTGCCTTTAACAACTTAAGATTAATACATAAGTTTATTATTTATTCAACTTTTGGTACGGTAAAAAAATTCAAAGACAGCATATTGGGCAACAAACTAAATTAAGAAACCTGCACATTTGGATGTTCAGTGGCAAGAAGACCTTCAAGAATATCAGTATCATCAAAATAAGTACTTTAGTGTTCAAAAATATGCCTATGGGTTTTTAAAAATTATCAGAATTTCATATTTAGACCGAGACAAGAGACTCCCAATTTTACTGTTATCCTAAATAAATCTCTACATTCCATCTCTAGTCCAGTTGTGGCTATGAAGTGAGCAGTTCTAAACAATGACAAAGATTCCAGACCCCACTTGATAGATATTTTTCACACTTTATAATCAATTTCCACTCAGGAATCAATAAAGTTATTCCATGTCATAAGTATTTTTAAGATGTCTCAGGATCTCACATACTCAACTAATGACCCCCTTACAAGAAATAGGTAAAGGGCTGATAGCAACTCATTACTTGATGTGGTACGAGAGCCTTAGTTCTATGCAAAGATAAATGGAGAAGCGTTTTTTTCATGGATAATTTTACATGGCTTTAGAGACACAGAAACAGATAAATTATTACATGTATAAAAATTTTAGTAAAATTGACATTTTAAATACATGCTTATAGATTATTGGTATTTAATTGAAGGTACAGTACAGAAGAGATAGAAAAATAAATTTTGCCCCACTCTGAAATTGAAGACTGACCTCTGAGCATGTCCGCTGAGACACAGTATTCTCCTGTGATCTGGGACCCAGAATAACAGGAAAGAGAAACTGATAGATGTTTTCATCAGCCCAAGGATGTATGTATCTTACTTGAGTGAATTCAACAGTCCCAGGACCACTGTAGTGCTGTAGGTCTGTGTAAAGAAATGTAGTGACAGCACATTAACCTGAGATCATTGATACCATCTTGGTTCAGCCTCAGTTCCCCAGATAAGTGAACAAATGAACAAAAATGCACTTCAGAAATATTGAAATTCCAAGGCACTATTTCATGGACAGTGCTGAACAAGTATAGTTTGGCCTATTGGTATGTATAGACTTAGATCATATTTATTGTCAATGGGCTTGAATTCTGATTTCCACTTTTGAAAGTTTATTTCACTATGTATCATTACATTTTATTGGGACCTTGTGAAAACTACCTGCCATGAAATACTGGATTTTCACATAATTTAGAAAAAATTTAGAATGTTTTATGCCTCAGAATGGTCAGGAACTTCCCATTTCTTCCCACAGCTTCTATAAAAAAAATTTAAAAGGAAGGAGGAGCTGAAATAGGGGCTATGGTCTTTTAAACTTATAAATCTGGAATTTTTAATATTTCATTTTAAGGCCTTAAACCGAAACACAAGCTACTAATCAGTCTTTCTAAATCTGACCTTCATTGAAAGCAACTCAGAAATTAATAATTTGTGCTGTGGCTTCAAGTTTAAATAGATTGTTTGAAGAGAAATCATATGTCAGGGTTTGCAGGATTACAGGATTTCTAACTTAAACCCCCAAGAACAATGAAAAAGTTGACGTACATGTCACTATGAATAGGCACCTTCTGTTGGATCTCTGTGTCCATTTAGAGATGAGCTACAAGTTGACAAGAAAAATAGGAGCAGTTTTTTTTTTCTTTTTAAACCTAGTCACCAAATGGTAAAAGGACTTGGATGAAATTCCAATACCAGTGTGAGATTCTGGATTTAGAATAAGGTTTTATAACCTTAGGCATGTCATTCTTCTACTTCTCATTTTTCCCTAATAAAACTTATTCTCTCTTCCATAATATCATATATATGGTCACATTACTTCAGGAATATTTATATTACCTCCTCCAAAACTGAAAGAAAATAAACTTTAGGCTGTAAGAGTTGAGAATTATGCATACAGGGCTCACAGGCGGAGTTGGACAATATGCTGATGGATCAAGACATACTGCAACCACAAAGTTCCATCTCACTTAGATGTGGATGAAAAAAGATCTCTTGCTAAATTATTTTCTGTGACCTTAAAAGAAATTTGTTTCACTTTTCATCTTTCAAGGGTCATCTTGATAGTTACCTTAACAAACCTTTCTCAGCTATTTATTATTGAGAAAGCCCATTCTTAAATTTTAAGTCACAAAATTATAGTTGTCCACTCTACTATGACTGAAAGAAGCAGCATTCAAGAAAAAATTTAAACATAGTTACCAAGAAATGTGAAGAAGTATTTATAAAAGGAAGCTACATAAGTAGGTAATTTTACTCTTTCTTAACCAGTTTAAAACAGTAAAGCACACCTGCATCTAATCACAATGTTAGGCGAACAACTTAAAACATGATCAGCCTGTATGAGAACTGGGATATTGTTACATATTCAGCCTGTATGAGAACTGGGATATTGTTGTTACATGTATTTGTATAAACATTAGGAGATGATTTCCATGGCTTTTTTTTTTTTTTTTTTAGGAAGTCTTGCTCTGTTGCCCAGCTGGAGTGCAGTGATGTGATCTCGGCTCACTGCAACCCCTGCTTCCCAGGTTCAAGCGATTCTCCTGCCTCAGCCTCCCCAGTAGCTGGGATTACGGGCACACCACCATGCCCAGCTTTTATTTATTTATTTATTTATTTTGGATTTTTAGTAGAGATGGGGTTTTGCCCTGTTGGCCAGGCTGGTCTTGAACTCCTGACCTCAAGTGATCCGCCCTCATTGGCCTCCCAAAGTTCTGGGATTACAGGTGTGAGAGCTGCCGCGCCTAGCCCTTCATGAGGTTTTATAGTGAATGAATTATTTTTCTATAAAGTTTATCAATATTTATTTTGGAAAGCTGCTGAAAATGTCTTTTTCAAAATTAATTATGCTTAAGATGTATGGCATTAAATTCAATTTTATGAGGCTTTCTGACATATTTACTAAAAAAACCTGGAACTGAGACTGAATTTGGAAGACATTTAATTTTGTAGTGAGATATCTATATTGTAGATATTGTACTTTTAAAACCTGTCATTAAGTGTTTGGCATGTGGTTAATACTTTCTCTTTAGTCACAACTGGTATTTTAATAAATGTTATAAACGTAAGTGCCAAGATATGCATCACTAACTGTTCTATGAAATTTGTCTACTTCTCCTTTATGTTCCCAAAGTCACAGAGAAAGCAGTGTACTTTATGACAGTATATTTATCTTTTTATCATTATGAATTATAAGCAGTGTTAATTTTGAGAAATAAAAGTCCAAAAAGAATTATTATGAGTTTAAGTTACTTTAGGATTATATCTGTTGTATGGTAAATAAAATAATGATATTATTTCAGCTAACATTTGAAAATATAAAGAAGTAATCCTTGTGGTTTATACAAACAGTTAATACAAAATGTTTATCCATTGTTAGCCTGTCGTTGTGTCTTCAAAATTCCGAAAGACATATGCTTAGCATTTGTAAGGGGTTTGAAAACATTTTAGTTCCCAGGACCTCCCTTTACTGTTACTCTCTTTGGTAATGTCTCAATAGATCATCCCACACCAGATTCTTGCTGGCATTATAGCCGCTTGTGATGAAAGATTACTCATTTTAATCATCAAGAAAGATACTCGTTTCAATCTTTAAGAGCTCTTTAGTTTGAGTCTTTAGGTCTTGTAGTTTGAGTCTTTAGTTCTCTAAGAAATCTTGATTTATAGTGATTTATGAACATATGTTTTATCACTTAGGCTTTCTAGCAATTTGTGTTTTGTCACTACTTGAGCTTGTATTCAGACATATATCTCTTTTTCTTGCTTTTTAATCTTAAAGTGTAATTAAAACAAATGCACACAGAAAACCTTTCGAATAGTACTGAGAAATATAAAATAAAAAGTGATGGTCTCTTTCCACTCCCAATCTTCCGTTCCTATTCCCTAAAATAACCCTGTTATTATTTTACCATTTTAAAAGCATGTACACAGTTAGGATATTATTCTGCTTAATATTATGAAATTACCCTTTTCCTGTATCTTAGCGATATTTCTATATAAATTCAAACATAGCTACTTCATTAATTTTAATAGTTGCATAGTATTCCATTTTGCCAAAATACAATAATTTAACAGTTCACAATTGGTGAATATTTAGAAACTCTCCAATCTTTTTTACTATTATGAGCAATACTGAAGTGATCATTCTCATACGTAATTATGTCTTGTCATGCTTTTGTAAAACTACTTGTCAGGAATTTTGGTTGCAAATGTGGTAAATGAACTCAAATTGGCTTCAGTATCATTTTGGTATTTTAATTGTAACTTGATGAATGAAATGGAGCGTATTTTCATATGTTTATAAGCATCTGTTTTCCTCTACTTTTTATATTCATGTTATTTTCTTTTGCCTATTTTTCTATTAGGATTTTTGATTTCTTATCATTCATTTTACATTTGTGTTCTTAAGTTTTTCTTGAGATATGTACCGTAAAATGCACAAGCCTTCGGTATATAGTTTAATGAATTTTTACACATTTCCTCCTGAGTATATACCTAGGAGTAATACTGCTGGGTCATAGGTTAGGATTTTGTTTTGCTTTAACAGATACGTCCAAGTAATGGTTGAATAAATTTATGCTGCCATCAGCAACATAGGACAGTTCCAGTTGCTCCATATATCATATCATGATCAACATTGATATTGACAACCTTTAAAATTTTAGCCATTCTGATGGTTGCATAATGCTTACTTGTGCTTTTAACTTGCATTTCTCTAATATGTAATAATTTTGAGTAACATTTAATTAATTCCTCTCCTGCCATTTTTGGCTACTTTTGTCATATATCTTATTTCTGTATATTTTATAAACATCAGAAGCATTATTTTATTGTAGCTTTATATAATCAACAGTCTTTCAAATTTGATCCTTGCAGTGTTTCATGCGCGTCCGTGTGAAGAGACCACCAAACAGGCTTTGTGTGAGCAACAAGGCTGTTTATTTCACCTGGGTGCAGGCGGGCTGAGTCTGAAAAGAGAGTCAGCGAAGGGAGATACGGGTGGGGCCGTTTTATAGGATTTGGGTAGGTAAAGGAAAATTACAGTCAAAGGGGGTTGTTCTCTGGTGGGCAGGGGCGGGGGTCACAAGGTGCTCAGCTGGGGAGCTTCTGAGCCAGGAGAAGGAAATTCACAGGGTTAATCACTCAGTTAACGTGGGGCAGGAACAAATCACAATGGTGGAATATCATCAGTTAAGGCGGGGCAGGACCTTTTCACTTCTTTTGTGATTCTTCAGTTACTTCAGGCCATCTGGGCATATACGTGCAAGTCACAGGGGATGCGATGGCTTGGCTTGGGCTCAGAAGCCTGACATTCCTGCCTTCTTATATTAATAAGAAAAGTAAAACAAAATAGTGTTGAAGTGTTGGGGTGGCAAAAATTTTTGGGGGGTGATATGGAGAGAGAATGGGTGATGTTTCTCAGGGCTGCTTCAAGGGGGATTAGAGGCGGCATGGGAACCTAGAGTGGGAGAGATTAAGCTGAAGGGAAGTCTTGTGGTAAGGGGTGATATTGTGGGGATGTTAGAAGAAACATTTGTCGTATAGAATGATTGGTGATGGCCTGGATACCGTTTTGGATGAATTGAGAAACTAAATGGAGTAACAGAAGGAGAAAAACAGGTATAAAAGGTCTAAGAATTGGGACGACTCAGGATATCTGATTAGAGAGTGCCTAAGGAGATTCAGCATAGTCCTGCCAGCAAAGATTATTTATTTACTTCAAGAGTTTAGAGTGGCAGTTTGGGGATAGCACCAGGAGATATCAGCTGTGATGGCTTGGAGAAACAGTGTAAACCGGCAGTGTAAACAAGAGCAGGGCATGTATGAGTAGTTGAGAATGGTGAATAGGAGTATGACTAACAGATGAGGATGAAATTTGGGCTTGATTGAAGTAATGGGGGCTGTCTGTGAAGCCTTGCGGCAGTACAGCCCAGGTAATTTGCTGAGCCTAATGGGTGTCAGGGTCAGTCTAAGTGAAGGCAAAGAGAGGCTGGGATGAAGGGTGCAAAGGAATAGTAAAGAAAGCATGTTCGAGATCCAGAACAGAATAATGGGTAGTAGAGGGAGGTATTGAGGATAGGAGAGTATATGGGTTTGGCACCATGGGGTGGATAGGCAAAACAATTTGGTTGATAAGGCGCAGATCCTGAACTAACTTGTAAGCCTTGTCTGGTTTTAGGACAGGTAAAATGGGGGAATTGTAAGGAGAGTTTATAGGCTTTAAAAGGCCATGCTGTAGCAGGCAAGTGATAACAGGCTTTAATCTTTTTAAAGCGTGCTGCAGGATGGGATATTGGCATTGAGTGGGGTAAGGGTGATTAGGTTTTAATGAAATGGTAAGGGGTGCATGATCGGTCGCCAAGGAGGGAGTAGAGGTATCTTATACTTGTGGGTTAAGGTGGGGGATACAAGAGGAGGACGCAAAGGAGGCTTTGGATTGGGAAGAAGGGCGGCAATGAGATACAGCTGTAGTGCAGGAATAGTCAGGGAAGCAGATAATTTAGTTAAAGTGTCTCAGCCTAATAAGGGAACTGGGCAGGTGGGGATAACTAAAAGGAGTGCTTAAAAGAGTATTGTCTAAGTTGGCACCAGAGCTGGGGAGTTTTAAGAGGTTTAGAAGCCTGGCCGTCAATACCCACAACAGTTATGGAGGCAAGGGAAACAGGCCCTTGAAAAGAAGGTAATGTGGAGTGGGTAGCCTCCATATTGATTAAGAAGGGGACGGGCTTACCTTCCACTGTGAGAGTTACGGAAGCTTGGCATCCGTGATGGTCCAGGGGGCTTCCGAGGCGATCGGGCAGTGTCAGTCTTCAGCCGCTAAGCCGAGAAGATCTGGGAAGGAGTCAGTCAGAGAGCCTTGGGCCAGAGTTCCAGGGGCTCTGGGAGTGGCTGCCAGGTGAGTTGAACAGTCCGATTTTCAGTGGGGTCCCACACAGATGGGACGCGGCTTAGGAGGAATCCTGGGCTGCGGGCATTCCTTGGCCCAGTGGCCAGATTTCCGGCACATGTAGCAAGCTCCTATGGGAGGAGGTTTTGGAGGAAAGCCTGGCTGCTGCGGTTCAGGTGTTTGGAAGTTCTTGTGTGCTGGAGATGTGGCTGGGGTTTGTCTCACAGTGGAGGCAAGGAATTGCAACTTTTTCTATTATTGTACACCTTGAAGGCAAGGTTAATTAACTCCTGTTGTGGGGTTTGAGGGCTGGAATTTAATTTTTGAAATTTTATTTAATGTCGGGAGCAGATTGGGTAATAAAATGTATTTTGAGAATAAGACGGCCTTTAGACCTTTTAGGGTCTAGGGCTGTAAAGTGTCTCAGGGTTGCTGCCAAACAAGTCATGAACTGGGCTGGATTTTTATATTTGATGAAAAAGAGCCTAAACGCTATCTGATTTGGGATAAAGAAAAAGGAGCATTAACCTTGACCATGCCTTTAGCTCCAGCCACCTTTTTAAGAGTAAATTGCTGGGCAGGAGTGGGAGGGCTAGTCACGGAACGAAACTGTAAGCCAGACCAGGTGTGAGGAGGGGAGGTGATAAAAAGATTATAGGGTGGAGGAGCAGAGGCTGAGGAAGAATTGGGACCTAGCTTGGCCTGGCGAGGAGCCTGGCGAGGAGCCTGGGGAGGAAGGGAGAGGTCAGATGGGTCTGTAGAAAAGGAAGATTAGAAAGACTCAGTGATGCTTGGGGTTGGTACTGAGGGGACAGGTGGGAGGGAAAGAAGGAAGATTTGGGACGAGTTGCACTGGGCACAGAGACTAGATAGGGACTGACGTGTAAAAGAATGCCTGGACGTCAGGCACCTCAGACCGTTTGCCTATTTTACGACAAGAATTATTTAGATCTTGCAGGATGGAAAAATTCAAAGTGCCATTTTCTGGCTATTTGGAACTACTGTCGAGTTTGTATTGGGGTCAAGCGACATTGCAGAAGAAAATAAGGCATTTAGGTTTTAGGTCAGGTGTGAGTTGAAGAGGTTTTAAGTTTTTGAGAACACAGGCCAAGGGAGTAGAAGGAGGAATGGAGGGTGGAAGGTTGCCTATAGTGAAGGAAGCAAGCAAGCCTAGAGAAAAGAGAGAGTAGAGAAACGGAGGGAAGGGGTTCGGGGGTTCTTACCTTCCAGAAAAGTGGGAAAAGGGGTTGGGGCGCAGAGATAAGAGGTCGGGGCATGGAAATAAGGGATGGGGCGCAGAAATAAGGGGTTGGGGTACGGAAATAAGGGGTAGGGGCATGGAAATAAGGGGTCAGGGCACGGAAATAAGGGGTCGGGGCAAGGAAATAAGGGATTGGGGTGTAGAGATATAAGAGGTTGGGGCACGGAAATAAGGGATTGGGGTGCAGAGATACGAGGTTGGGGTACTTGCCCCTCCTCTAGAAAAGCGGGACTTGCCACTAAGAGTGAAGGAGAAGGGGTTGAGGGGTACTTGCCCCTCCCCCAGAAAAGCGGGACTTGCCGCTAAGGGTGAAAGAGAAGAGGTTGAGGGTACTTGTACCTCTCCCAGAAAAGCGGGACTTGCCGCTAAGAGTGAAGGAGAAAGGGTTGAGGGGTACTTGCCCCTGCCCCAGGAAAGCAGAACTTGCCGCTAAGGGTGAAGGAGAAGGGGTTGAGGGGTACTTGCCCCTCCCCCAGAAAAGCAGAGAAGGGGTAGAGACAAGGAGAGAAGGGGTTGGGTTACTTGCCCCTTCCCCAGAAAAGCAGAGAAGGGGTAGAGACAAGGAGAGAAGGGGTTGGGGTACTTGCCCCTTCCCCAGAAAAGCAGAGAAGGGGTAGAGACAAGGAGAGAAGGGGTTGGGGTACTTGCACCTTCCCCAGAAAAGCGAGACTTGCCGCTAAGGGTGAAGGACCAAGGCAGGCGTCCCTGCATGTTCTGACACCTTTGAAACGTGGGTGAATAATCAGAGAGGCGTCCCTGCAATGATTAAACACCAAGGGAAGGCTGCCTTCCCAGTCCGTGACCGGCGCCGGAGTTTTGGGTCCACGGATAAAACATATCTCCTTTGTCTCTACTGGAAAATGAAAGGAATTGAAATTAAGAGAAGGGAGAGATTGAAGTGTGGCGCCAAGATTGAAAGGAGAAAGAGGTTGAGGGATAGTGAGGGAGGTTGGAGAAGAGAGTAAAAAGAGGTCGCTTACCGTATTTGAAATTGGTGAGATGTTTCTTGGGCTGGTCCGTCTGAGAACCTGAGGTCGTAGGTGGATCTTTCTCATGGAGCAAAGAGCAGGAGGACAGGGGATTGATCTCCCAAGGGAGGTCCCCCAATCCGAGTCACGGCACCAAATTTCATGCGCGTCCATGTGAAGAGACCACCAAACAGGCTTTCTGTGAGCAACATGGCTGTTTATTTCACCTGGGTGCAGGCGGGCTGAGTCTGAAAAGAGAGTCAGCGAAGGGAGATACGGGTGGGGCCGTTTTATAGGATTTGGTTAGGTAAAGGAAAATTACAGTCAAAGGGGGTTGTTCTCTGGTGGGCAGGGGCGGGGGTCACAAGGTCCTCAGTTGGGGAGCTTCTGAGCCAGGAGAAGGAAATTCACAGGGTTAATCACTCAGTTAAGGTGGGGCAAGAACAAATCACAATGGTGGAATGTCATCAGTTAAGGCGGGGCAGGACCTTTTCACTTATTTTGTGATTCTTCAGTTACTTCAGGCCATCTGGGCATATATGTGCAAGTCACAGGGGATGCGATGGCTTGGCTTGGGCTCAGAGGCCTGACACAGTGCTGTTTGTTTCTTCTTGCATCTCTGTTTTTCCTGCTTGGATAATATTTTTTCATCCTAAAGAATTTCTTTCAGTATTTCTTGTACTGTAAATCAACAGTGACAAATTCTTTCAGACTTTGGGATCATAATTTCACCTTCGTTTTCTTACAGATATATTTAGTGACTATAGAATTCGAAGTTGACAGTTATTTTTCTTCATTGTAAGTTGCCATTTTATTGCCTTCTGGCTTCTATTATTACTGTTGAAAAGTTAGCCATTGTTTTGTTTCCCTTAAGGTAATATGTCTTTTATTGTGTATTTTTGTTGGCATTTAAGACTTTTCTCCTTATCTTTGCTTTTCAGCAGTTTGACTATTATATGCCTAGGTGTGGTTTTCTTTTTACTTATCATGATTCATACTCCTTGAGAGTCTTCTATCTGTGGATAGAGAATTTTCATTAGATTTGGAAAATCCTCAGCCATTATTTCTTCATCAATTTTGTCTCATTTTATTTATCCTCTCCTTCTGGAACTATCAGTTTCATACATGGTAAGTATTTTGGCCTAGGTCCACATGTCTCTTTTTCCTACAGTTTTTTGTCTCAATACTTCATTTTGATTTTTTTTTCTTTTTCTTTTAACTTTTATTTTAAGTTCAGGGGTGCATGTGCAGGATGTGCAGGTTTGTTACATAAGTAAATGTGCGGTTTGATGTGTGGTTTGATGTACAGATTATTTCACCAGCCAGGTATTAGGCCTAGTGATATGGTTAGGCCTTCTGTCCCAAATCTCATCTTGAATTGTAATCTCCATAATCCCCACATGTCCAGAGAGAGACCTGGTGGGAGGTGATTGGATCATGGGGGCGGTTTCCCTCATGCTGTTCCTGTGATAGTGAATGAGTTCTCCTGAGATCTGATAGTTTTATAAGGAGATCTTTCCCCTTCACTCCTCATTCTTTTCTCTCCTGCCACCACGTGAGAAGTTCCAAGCTTGCTTCCTCTTCACCTTCCATTGTAAGTTTCCTGAGGCCTCCCAACCTATGCAGAACTGTGAGTCAATTAAACCTCTTTTATAAATTTCCCAGTCTCAGGCATTTCTTTATAGCAGTGTGAGAATGGACTAATATACTTACTATACATTAGTCATTTTTTCCTGATCTTCTTTCTCCTCCCATCATCTGCCCTCTGGTAGTCTCCAGTGTGTGTTGTTCCTCTCTATGTGTCCACATGTTCTCATCATTTAGCTCCTACTTATAAGTGAGAACATGTGGTGTTTGATTTTCTGTCCCCTTGTTAGTTTGCTAAGGATAATGGCCTCCAGCTCTATCCATGTCTCTGCAAAGGACTGGACTTCATTCCTTTTTATGGCTGCATAGTATTCCATGGTGTATATGTACCACATTTTCTTTATACAGTCTATCATTGGTGGACTTTTATGTTGATTCCATATCTTTGCTTTTGTGAACAGTGTTGCAATGAACATACGTGTGCATCTGTCTTTAAAATACAATGATTTATATTCCTTTGGGTATATACCCAGTAATAGAATTGCTGGGTCTAATGGTATTTCTGGTTCTAGGTCTTTGAGGCATGGCCATATTGTCTTCAACAATGGTTGAACTAATTTATACTCCTTCCAGCAGAATTTGATTCTGGGAAGACAATCTTTTATTCCACTCACATAAAATGTCACATTTATCACTTACTAATTCACAAGTATGTTTGTGTTTATTTCTGGACTTTTTATTCTTTTTCATTGACTGTTCAATCTATTTTTTTCTCTAGTACTAAATTTATAATTACCACAGCTACTCAATAAATTTAATACCTGGAGAGCGAGATTCTCCACCTTTCTTATTATACCGAATTGATGTTCTTTCCAGAGTAGTTTTAGCTGAATTAAGTTTTTATAATAAAAAAATTCTGTTGATATTTTAATTGGAGTTAAAAGGGTTGAAAATATCATCACTACAATATTTAGTAGCCCAAGATTATATGTCAATTATAAAACAAATTTGTCATGAAAATATTACTTCTTTTTAAATAATAATCAAGACAAATAATTCATATAATATCTGTAATACTGAATTCTTCCCAGAATCATTCTTTCTTTGATATGAAACATTAGAAATTTGGTAAGTGCTTGTCTTAGTCAGTTCAGGCTGCTGTAACAAAGTGCCACAGACTGGGTGGGTTATAAATAATAGACATTTATTTCTTATGGCTCTGGATGCTCTGGTGAAGGCCCTCTTCCAGGTTGCAGACTGCCATTTTATCACGGTATCCTCACATGGCAGAAAGAGAGCTACCAAGTTCCCTGGGGTCTCTTTTATAAGGACTCTAATCCCATTCATGAGGACTCTATCCTCATGATCTAATTACTTCCCAAAGGCCCCACCTCCTGATGTCATTACAAGGTGGTTAAGATTTCAGCATATGAATTTTGGAGGGACACAAGCATTCAGTACATTGCAGTGCTCTAAGCTTTATGATTTAAATGTGGGGCTATAAATAGGGTGGTTATCCATCCCACTGTGTCTGACCAAGTCTTTATTTATGTATATATAATGACCCCTTTCACTCTGGAGGGGAGGCAAAACACCACCATCTTCAAGGTCCCAGCTGGGCCTGAGAATTAAATTGACATAAGATGGGTTAACAGGAGTAAAATGAAGACCCAAAGAAATAGAATCAGTTACTTATGTACCAAATTAGACAAAGAATTGTAAGTTGAGAAATGTGATAAGGCAAAGGGGGTTGGGCCAGGGTAGTTAATTGGGTAGAGAAGTGACCAGAAAGATAACAGTTAGTTTAACAAAGTCTTCCTCCTGCTCTAGCCATGTAAGACGTGACTGCTTCCCCTTCCCCTTCCACCATGATTTGCAAGTTTCCTAAGGCCTCCCCAGAAGCTGTCATGCTTCCTGTACAGCCTGTGAAACCATGAGCCAATTAAGCCTCTTTTCTTTATAAATTACCCAGTCTCAGTTATGTCTTTTTAGCAGTGCAAGGGTGTACTAATACATAGGGCTTATTGCTTAGTTCAGTCATTGCTCTGGACTGAGTTGAAAAAATGAAAGGAAAAGAAGAACTGTCCTGAGAATTCCTACACTCAGATTTGTGAACACTCAAATTTCTATCCTCAGATTTTCATACTCATTAATTTTGGGCCAAAATTCATACTACCTATGTGGTCTAGAAAAACAACAAGGAACATATTTAGTTTTAAGAGTCCTGTATTGCTTGAGCATCTAAGATACATTGTAGAAGCAAATGCAAATAGCTTCTGGGAAAATCCACATTCAACCAAGACCCTGGGAGACTTCAAAATTCCAAGGAATATAAGGTCATTAACAACATTACTTACACAGGGACATGATCCCTTGACTGACAGTCAGCAGGAACAATGGATGACAGTATCAGAACCACAGAGACTGGAAAACTTGGTCAAATTGCTAAGGAAGGCAGAGGAGAAAAGGGGAAAAGGTTTGGTTCAAGAAGGCAGTACTGAACTTCAGCAGTCCTGTAACTTCCCACTCCAAAACTCCTAACAGAGGAGATCCTCCTTTTTTCTTGTGGTTTAAACCAGTTTGATTGGATTTTATACTGATAGCTAGCAATATCTCAACAGAGAGGGAGAAAAAGGAATTGAATTGAGGTGAAGGCTGGCAAGATGGCTGAATAGGAATAGCTCTGATCTTCAGCTCCCATCGAGAACAACACAGAAGGTGGGTGATTTCTGCATTTCCAACTGAGGTACCTGGCTCATCTCACTGGGACTGGTTAGACAGTGGGTGCAGCCCATGGAGGGTGAGCAGAAGCAGGGTGGGGAGTTGCCTCACCCAGGAAGCACAAGGGGTTGGGGAGCTCCCACCCCTAGCCAAGGGAAGCCGTGAAGGACTGTGCCATGAGGAATGGTGCACTCCAGCCCAGATACTATGCTTTTCCCATGGTCTTCGCAACCCCCACACCAGGAGATTCCCTCAGAGGCCTAAACCACCAGGGCCCTGGGTTTCAAGCACAAAACTGGGCAGCTGTTTGGGCAGACACTGAGCTAGGTTCAGGAGTTTTTTTTTCACACCCCATTGGCATGTGGATCACCAGCAAGACAGTACTGTTCACTCCCATGGAAAAGGGGCTGAAACCAGGGGGCCAAGTGGTCTAGCTCAGCAGATCCCATTCCCATGGAGGCCAGCAAGTTAAGATCCACTGGCTTGAAATTCTCGCTGCCATCACAGTAGTCTGAAGTTGACCTGGGACACTCAAGCTTGGTGGAGGGAGGGGCATCTGCCATTACTGAGGCTTGAGTAGGTAGTTTTCCTCTCACAGCATAAACAAAGCCACCAGGAAGTCCTTCTCTGCGGAGCCCACCACAGCAAACCAAAGCTGCTGTAGCCAGATTGCCTCTCTAGATTCCTCCACCCTTGGCAGGGCATCTCTGAAAGAAAGGCAGCAACCTCAGTCAGGGGCTTATAGATAAAACTCCCATCTCCCTGGGACACAACACCTTGGGGAAGAGGTGGCTGTGGGTGCAGCTGCAGCAGACTTAAACGTTCTTGCCTGCTGGCTCTGAAGAGAGCAGCAGATCTCCCAGCACAGTGCTCAAGCTCTACTAAGGTACAGACTGCCTCCTCAAGTGGGTCCCTGACCCCTGTGACTTCTGACTGGGAGACACCTCTCAGCAGGGGTTGACAGACACCTCATACAAGAGAGCTCAGCCTGGCATCGGGTGGGTGCCCCTCTGGGACGAAGCTTCCAGAGGAAGGAACAGGCAGGAATCTTTGCTGTTCTGCAGCCTCTGCTGGTGATACCCAGGCAAACAGGGTCTGGAGTGGACCTCCAGCAAACTCCAGCAGACCTGCAGCAGAGGGGCCTGACTGTTAGAAGGAAAACTAACAAACAGAAAGGAATAGTATCAACATCAACAAAAAGGATGTCCACACAGAAACCCCTTTCAAAGGTCACCAACATCAAAGACCAAAGGTAGATAAATCCATGAAGATGAGGAAAAGCCAGTGCAAAGAGGCTGAAAATGCAAAAATAGAACTCCTCTTCTCCTCTAAAGGACCACAACTCCTCGCCAGCAAGGGAACAAAACTGGACGGAGAATGAGTTCTGAAGTAGGCTTCAGAAGGTGTGTAAAAACAAACTCCTCTGAGCTAAAGGAGCATGTTCTAACCCAATGCAAGGAAGCTAAGAGCCTTGGAAAAAGGTTAGAGGAGTTGCTAACTAGAATAAACAGTTTAGAGAAGAACATAAATGACCTGATGGAGCTGAAAAACACAGCACGAGAACTTTGTGAAGCACACACAAGTATCAACAGCCAAATCAATCAAGTGGAAGAAAGGATATCAGAGATTGAAGATAAACTTAATGAAACATAGCAGGAATAAAATATTAGAGAAAAAAGAATGAAAATGAATGAACAAAGGCTCCAAGAAATATGGGACTATGTGAAAAGACCAAACCTACATTTGATTAATGTATCTGAAAGTGATGGGGAGAATGGAACCAAGTTGGAAAACACTCTTCAGGATATTATCCAGGAGAATTTCCCCAATCTAGCAAGACAGGCCAACATTTAAATTCAAGAAATACAGAGAACACCACAAAGATACTCCTCAAGAAGACCAACCCCAAAACACATAATTGTCAGATTCACCAAGATTGAAATGAAAGAAAAGAAGTTAAGGGCAGCCATAGAGAAAAGTCGGGTCACCCACAAAGGGAAGCCCATCAGATTAACTGCGAATCTGTCCACAGAAACCCTACAAGCCACAAGAGAGTGGGGGCCAATATTCAACATTCTTACAGGAAAGACTTTTAAATCCAGAATTTCATATCCAGCCAACTAAGCTTCATAGATGAAGGAGAAATAAAATCCTTTACAGAGAAGCAAATGCTGAGAGACTTTGTCACCACCAGGCCTGCCTTACAAGAGCTCTTGAAGGAAGCACTAAACATGGAAAGGAAAAAGTGGTCCCAGCCACTGCAAAAGCATACCAAATTGTGAAGACCATTGACACTATGAAGAAACTGCATCAACTAATGGGCAAAGTAACCAGCTAACATCATAATGACAGGATCAAATTCACACATAACAATATTAACCTTAAATGTAAATAGGCTAAATGCTCCAATTAAAAGACACAGACTGGCAAATTGGATAGACTCAAGACCCATCAGTGTGCTGTATTCAGGAGACCCATCTCACATGCAGAGACACACATAGGCTCAAAATAAAGGGATGGAGGAATATTTACAAAGCAAATGGAAAGCAAAAAGAAGCAGAGGTAACAATCCTAGTCTTTGATAAAACAGACTTTAAACCAACAAAGATCAAAAGAGACAAAGAAGAGCATTACATAATGGTAAAGGGATCAATGCAACAAGAAGAGCTAACTATGCTAAATATATATGCACTCAATACAGGAGCATGCAGATTCAGAAAGCAAGTCCTTAGAGACCTACAAAGAGACTTAGACTCCCACACAATAATAGTGGGAGACTTTAACACCCCACTGTCAATATTAGACCAATGAGACAGAAAATTAAAAAGGACATTCAGGACTTGAACTTAGCTCTGGACCAAGCGGACCTAATAGACATCTACAGAACACTCCACCCCAAATTAACAGAATATACATTCTTCTCAGCACTACATAATGCTTATTCTAAACTTGACCACATAATTGGCAGTAAAACACTCCTTAGCAAATGCAAAAGAATGGAAATCATAACAGACCGTCTCTTAGACCACAGTGCAATCAAATTAGAACTAAGGATTAAGAAACTCACTCAAAACCACACAACTACATGGAAACTGAATAACCTGCTCCTGAATGAATACTGGGTAAATAATAAAATTAAGGCAGAAATAAATAAGTTCTTTGGAACAAATGAGAACAAAGACACGATGTACCAGAATCACTGTGACACAGCTAAAACAGTGCTTAAAGGGAAATTTATAGCACTAAATGCTCACAGGAGAAAGCAGGAAAGAACTAAAATCAGCACCCTAACATCACAATTAAAAGAACTAGAGAAGCAAGAGCAAACAAATTCAAAGCTAGCAGAAAACAAGAAATAACTAAGATCAGAGCAGAACTGAAGGAGATAGAGACATGAAAAACCCTTCAAAAAATCAATGAATCCAGGATCTGGCTTTTTGAAAAGATTAAAATAGACCACTAGCCAGGCAATTAAAGAATAAGAGAGAGAAGAATCAAATAGACACAACAAAAAATGAAAAAGTTGATATCACCACTGATCCCACAGAAATGCAAACTATCATCAGAGAATACCATAAACACCTATACACAAATAAACTAGAAAATCCAGAAGAAATGGATAAATTCCTGGACACATATACCCTCCCAAGATTATAGGAAGAAGTCAAATCCCTGAATAGACCAATAACAAGTTCTGAAATGGAGGTAGTAATTAATAGCCTACCAACAAAAAAAGCCCAGGACAAGACAGATTCACAGTCAAATTCTACCAGAGGTACAAAGAGGAGCTGGTACCATTCCTTCTAAAACTATTCCAAACAATAGAAAAAGAGGGAATCCTCCCTAACTCATTTTATGAGGCTAGCATCATTCTGATACCAAAACCTGGCAGAGACACACGAAAGAAGAAAATTTCAGGCCAATATCCCTGATGAACATCGATGCGAAAATCCTCAGTACAATACTGGCAAAACGAATCCAGCAGCACATCAAAATGCTTATTCACCACGATCAAGTCAGCTTCATCCCTGGGATGCAAGGCTGGTTCAGCAAATGCAAATCAATAAACGTAATCCATCACATAAACAGAACCAATGATAAAAACAGCATGATTATCCCTATAGATGCAGAAACGGCCTTTGATAAAATTCAACAGCACTTCATGCTAAAGACGCTCAATAAACTAGGTATTGATGGAACATATCTCAAATAATAAGAGCTATTTATGACAAACCCACAGCCAATATCATACTGAATGGGCAAAAGCTGGAAGCATTCCCTTTGAAAACTGGCACAAGACAAGGATGCCCTCTCTCATCACTCCTGTTCAATATAGTATTGGAAGTTTTGGCCAGGGAAATAAGGCAAGAGAAAGAAATAAAGCATATTCAAATAGGAAGACAGGAAGTCAAATTGTCTCTATTTGCAGATGACATGATTGTATATCTAGAAAACCCCATTGTCTCAGCCCCAAAACTCCTTAAGCTGATAATTAACTTCAGCAGAGTCTCAGGATACAAAATCAATGTGCAAAAATCACAAACATTCCTATACACCAATAATAGAGATCCAGATCATGAGTGAACTCCCATTCACAATTGCCACAAAGAAAATAAAATACCTAGGAACACATCTTATAAGGGATGTGAAGGACCTCTTCAAAGAAAACTACAAACCACTGCTCAAGGAAATAAGAGAGGACACAAACAAATGGAAGAACATTTCATGCTCATGGATGGAAAGAATCAATATAGTGAAAATGGCCATACTACCCAAAGTAATTTATAGATTCAATGATATTCCCATCAAGCTACCATTGACTTTCTTCACAGAATTAGAAAAAAACTACTTTAAATTTTATATGGAACCAAAAAAGAGCCCATATAGCCAAGACAATCCTAAGTAAGAAGAACAAAGCTGGAGGCATCATGCTACCTGACTTCAAACTATACTACAAGGCTACAGTAACCAAAACAGCATGGTACTGGTACCAAAACAGATACATAGACCAATGGAACAGAACAGAGGCCTCAGAAATAACACCACACATCTACAACCATCTGATCTTTGACAAAACCTGACAAAAACAAGCAATGGGGAAAGGATTCCCTGTTTAATAAATGGTGTTGTGAAAACTGGCTAGCCATATGCAGAAAACTGAAACTGGACGCCTTTCTTACACCTTATACAAAAATTAACTCAAGATGGATGAAAGATTTCAATATAAGACCTAAAACCATAAAAACCCTAGAAGGAAACCTAGGCAATACCATTCAGGACATAGGCATGGGCTAAGGCTTCATGACTTAAATACCAAAAGCAATGGCAACAAAAGGGAAAATTGATAAATGAGATGTAATTAAACTAAAGAGCTTCTGCATAGCAAAAGAAACTATCATCAGAGTGAACAGGCAACCTACAGAATGGGAAAATTTTTGCGATCTTTCCATCTGACGAAGGGCTGATACCCAGAATCTACAAAGAACTTAAACAAATTTACAAGAAAAAAAATCAAACAACCCCATCAAAAAGTGGGCAAAGGCGATGAATAGACACTTCTCAAAAGAAGACATTTATGCAGCCACCAGACCCATGAAAAAATGCTCATCATCACTGGCCATCAGAGAAATGCAAATCAAAACCACAATGAGATACCATCTCACACCAGTTAGAATGGTGATCATTAAAAAGTCAGGAAACAAGAGATGCTGGAGAGGATGTGAAGAAATAGGAACACTTTTACACAGTTGGTGGGAGTGTAAATTAGTTCAACCATTGTGGAAGACATTGCGGCAATGCCTCAAGGATCCAGAATCAGAAATACCATTTGACCCAGCAATCTTTTACTAGGTATATACCCAAAGGATTATAAATCATTCTACTATAAAGACACATGCACACATATGTTTATTGCAGCACTGTTCACAATAGCAAAGACTTGGAACCAACCCAAATGCCCATCAATGATAGATGGATAAAGAAAATGTGGCACATATACACCATGGAATACTATGCAGCCATAAAAAGGATGAGTTCATGTCCTTTGCAGGGATATGGATAAAGCTGGAAACAATCATTCTCAGCAAACCAAACACTGCATGTTCTCACTCATAAGTGGGAGTTGAACAATGAGAACACATGGACACAGGGAGGGGAACATAACACACCGCGGCCTGTCAGGGGATGGGGGGCTAGGAGAGGGATAGCTTTAGGAGAAATACCTAATGCAGATGCAGCAAACTACCATGACATGTGTATACATATGTAACAAACCTGTACGTTCTCCACATGTATCCCACAACTTAAAGTATAATTTTTTTAAAAAAGCAAAAATGAATAAACAAAAAAAACAAAAAAAAAAAAAAAGAAAAAGAAAAAAAAGAAATTGAATTGAGAGTGGGGTGACTGATCACAAGATAGCAACACAGTGTGATTGATTCCCAGAAGGAAGATAGATGGTTATTCTGCTTTTGGTATTGGAGAACCAGGCCTACTAAATGGAAACGGGAGGAGGTGGTGGGGGGAATGACTAATTCTCTTGAGGGAAACTCACAGTCTTTAAAATTAACAAAAATCAGCTGGGTGCAGTGACTCACCCCTGTAATTGTAGCACTTTGGGAGGCTGAGGTAGGCAGATTGCTCGAGCTCTAGGAGTTCAAGACCAGCCTGAGCAACATGGCAAAACCCTGTCTGTACAAAAAAATACCAAAATTAGCTGGATGTGGTGGCGTTTACCTCTAGTCCCAGCTACTCGGAGGGTGAGGTGGGAGGATAACTTGAGCCCAGGAGGTCAAGGCTGCAGTGAGCTGAGATCGCGCCAGCTTCGGCAACAGTGAGAACTTGTCTCAAAAGAAAAAAAAAAATAACAAAAATCCTGATCCAGGCAAAACTGAAAAATATTTAGTGTTTTTTCATCTTTTAGAAATGAAAATAATTCACATAGTTAGAAATTTCTGACAGCACAACATGCATCCAGCAGTGAAGACAAGTGAGCAGCTATTGACTCTGAAACAAAATACACATAATGAAAACAAAAAACAGAAGAGGTTCTAGACAGCCTGTTTGAATGCAGATTCTCCCGGAAAATTTCAGGACAGTTGATACAGGAAGAATATTCCAATTTCTTCTCAAAAAAAGTACTCAGTACAAAAGGATAATTGCGTTGAATGCTGTTGGACATTGTATGCTGAAGTGCCCAGTAAAACTTTCCTCAAAGTCTTTATTTTGGTATAGTGACAAGGTGGTCTGTGTTGAGGACTCCTAGAATAATTCTAGATTTGCAATCTGCTTTTGTCCCTACCTCATTTTGTGCCATTCTTTGATCTTTCCCCTCACTGGTCCTCAATTTCCTAAATTGTCGAGTGAGAAACATGCTTTACTGAATTTTTGAGGTGTCTTTCAACGCCAAATTTCTAAGATCATGTTTCTTTACCAATATCCCTCTTAACCGAGATTACCAGTCTCAACAGTGAGGACAAAATAAGTGCTGACCGAGATGACATTTTTCACTCCTGGATGTATTTTTCTTTTTCACTTAGCACTCTGGGTTTTTTCGATGTGCTGATTTTAATTTCACGGGCTCTTCTGCAGCTACACTTCACAGGCTTTGAAGTAAGACCCATGTGAAACCAATGTGCTGTAGCCACAATAGTTAAATTTCCAAGAAAGGAGTGTCATGTGGATAAAACTGGTAGGAACTGTGAATAGATTGATATGGGTGGTGGCTGAACTATTACAAGCAATTTCATGTAGTTTATATTGACAACGCACTGGGATATGTGATGGACACAAATACATATATTTTAAAGCAAAACATATGTCTATGTGTGATAACCTATCTTTATGAAATTCTCTTTAGTACATATTTTGCCTACAGCTCCAAAGCCTGTGTTTCCAGGCACTGTAATTCCATGGGAAGGCTGTCAGGGAAAATTTTTTACTCTGTAATGGATAAATACTTTGTAGTAAAGCTGCACTAGACTTCTTTTAGATCCTCAAGAGGGCACGATGCCCAGCTTTCGGCTGCCAGGGCCTTTGAACTCTTTGCATTAAAGGTATTACACTTGTCCAGGGAATTAGACTCAACTTACTTATATCCCCAAATTCTATTACTTTTATCTCTTGAGCATCTTCTAAACCTATCCACAATTTTCAATCCCCTTCATCACCATTCTAGTCCAGGTTTCTGTGATATCTCACTAGATGCTGGCAATTGTCTGTTTATTTCAGGCATTTGGGTGAGTGTGCAATGGTATGATATAGCATTGTTTGGCATTTCTCTCATGAGGAATGAAATTGAGGCTCTTTTTAGTTATGATTTGTTCATTCAGAGATCCGTTTTTTAAAAGTAACTGATTAAGTCTTTCTAAATGGTTTGCTTCTTTTTCTTTTCTGTGTAATATTCTATGATAGGGCATATTACTTTAACCATTCACTGACTGTAGGACATTGTAGTTGTGACAAGTTTCTGGCTATTACAAATAAAACTGCCATGAACATTTGTATACAGGTTTTTATGTGAACATAATTTTAATTTCTCTGGATTGTTGAATGGAAATGCTAGGTTGTATAGTGAGTGTATGTTTTTTTTAAAAGCAACTTGATTGAAGTATAGTTGACAAATACAAATTACATATTTAAGGTCTATTACTTGATGTTTTGATGTATGTATACATTGTGAAATGACCACTACAAACAAGCTAATTAACATAACTATCACCTCATGCAGTTACTGTAGTTACACCATTTTCTTCTCTTTTTTTTTTGTGGTAAGAACACTTAAATGTACCCTCTTAGCAAATTTCAAGTGTACAATAGAGTATTATTAACTATAATCACCAAGCTGTACGTTAGGTTTCCAAAACTTATTCATCTTTCACAACTGCAACTTTGTACCTTTGTCTAACATTACCCTATTTCCCTTTCAACTTCAGTCCCTAGCAATCCCCATTCTACTCTCTGCTTCTATGAATTTGACTATTTGAGATTTCCCGTTTAAGTGAGATCATGCAATTTTTGTCTTTCTGTGTCTGGCTTATTTCACTTAACATAATGTTCCCCAGGTTCATCCATGTTGTCGAAATGTATTAGTCTGTTCTCACGGTGCTAATAAAGACATACCCAAGACTGGGTAATTTATAAAGGAAAGAGGTTTAATGGACTCACAGTTCCACATGGCTGGGGAGGCCTCACAATCATGGCGGAAGGCAAAGGAGAAGGAAAGGCACATCTTACGTGGTGGCAGGCAAGAGAGCTTGTGCAGGAGAACTCCTTTATAGAACTATCAGATCTTGTGAGACTTATTCACTACCATGAGAACAGTATGGGGGAACTACTCCCATGATTCAATTCTCTCTGCCTGGCCCCGCCCTTGACACATGGGGATTACCACAGTCAAGATGAGATTTGGTTGGGGACATAACCAAACCATACCACAGGGTTTCCTTCTTTTTTAAGGCTGAATAATAATCTATTGTATATATGCAACACGTTTTTTAATTGATTCATCCATTGACAAACACTTAGGTTGTTTCCATATCTTGACTATTGTGAATAAGGCTGCAATGAATATGGGACTGCAGATATCTCTTCAAGATCCTGATTTCACTTCCTTTGGATATATATTCAACTTTTTGAAGAACCTCCCTACTACTTTCCATAATGGCTGTACCAATTTACATTCCCACCAACAAGAGTTGCCTTTTCTTCACATCCTTGCCAACAGTAATTATCTTTGTCCTTTTGAAAATTGCCATCCTAACAGATGTGAGGTGATATCATATTGTGGTTTTGATTTGTATTCCCCTTATCATTAGTGACACTGAGAATCTTTTCATATACCTGTTGGCCATTTGTGTGTTTTCTTTTGAGAAATGTCTATTCAGGTCTTTTGCTCATTTTTAAATTGCATTTTTTGTTTGTTTTTGCTTTATTTGTTTCTTGCCATTTAATTATATGCATTCCCTCTACATTTTGAATTAACTCCTTATTAAATATATGGCTTGCAAGTATTTCCTCCCATTCTGTAGGCTGCCTTTTCACTCTGTTGATTGTTACCTTTGCTGTGCACAGGCTTTTTAATTTGAGATAATTCCACTCATCTATTTTTGCTTTCATTGCCTGTGATTTTGGTATCATATGCAAAAAAAAACCATTGCCCAGATCAATGGCAAGAAGCTTTTCTCTATGTTTTCTTCTAGTATTTTTATAGTTTTAGGTCTTACATTTAAGTATTTAATCTGTTTTGAGATGATTTTATTGTAAATGGTGTGACATACGGTCCAATTTCTTTTCTCTTTCTTTTCTTTTTTCTTTTCTTTTCTTTCTTTCTCTTCTTTCTTTCTTTCTTTCTTTCTTTCTTTCTTTCTTTCTTTCTCTTTCTCTTTCTTTCTTTCTTTCTTTCTTTCTTTCTTTCTTTCTTCTTTCTTTCTTTCTTTCTTTCTTTCTTTCTTTCTTTCTTTTTCTTTCTTTCTTTTTTGCATGTGGATATCCAGTTTTCCCAATACCTTTTATTGAAGAGAGTATTCTTTTTTCATCTGTGTTCCTGGCACTTTTGTCATAGATAAGTTGACTGTAACTGTATGAATTTATTTTGGGCTCTTTATTCTGTTCTATTGATGTATATGTCTCTTTTTATGCCAGTACCACACTGCTTCAATTACTGTAGATGTGCAATATATTTTGAAATTAAAAAATATGATGCCCCCAGCTTTGTTCTTCTTTCTCAAAATTAATTTGGCTTTTCAATGTCTTTTTTGATTCCATATGAATTTTAGCACTTTTTTATTTCTATAAAGAATGCCATTGATATTTTCACAGAAATTGCATTAGATCTATAGATCCTTTTATTAGCATAGATATTTTGGTAATATTAATTCGTCCAATACACAAACATTGGATGTCTTTCCATTTATCTAGGTGGTCTTTAATTTCCTTCATCAAATGTTTTATAATTTTCAATGTACAAGTCTTTTACCTCTTTGGTTAAGTTATTCTTATGTATTTTGTTCATTTTGTTGCTATTATAAATGGGATTTTTTCATAATTTCCTTTGCAGATAGTTCATTGTTACTGTATAAAAGCACCACCAATTTTCATATATTGATTATGTTATCCTGCAACTTTACTGAATTTGTTTATTAGTTATGACAAACTGTTTCTGAGTCTTTAGAGTTTTCTACTTATATGATCATTTCATCTGCAGGAAGAGATATTTTTATCTTTTTCTTTCTGATTTCGATGCCTTTACTTTCTTTTCTTGTCTAATTGCCCTAGCTAGGACTTCTGGTACTATCTTGAATAGAAATGGTGAGAGAGGGCATCTTTACCTTGTACTGGATCTCAGAGGAAAAGCTTTCAGTTTTTCCCTATTGATTATGATGTTACATGTGGGCTTTTCATATATGGCTTGTGTTGTGTTAAGTTTCTTCTATACTGATGTTTTAGAACTTTTATGGATATCAAATTTTGTTAAATGCTTTTTCTGATGTATTAAGATAATCATGTGGTTTTTATCTTTTACTGTTGTATATAATTTATCGATTTGCATATGTTGAACCATTCTTGCTTGGGTTACTAGGAATAAATCCAAGTTGGTATGGTGTATGATCATTTTGATGTGCTATTGAATTTGGTTTGCTAGAATTTTATTGAGGAGTTTTGCATCTATATTCATCAGGGATATTGGTTTACAGTTTTCTTGTGGTGCCTTTGTTTGGCTTTGGTATCAAGGTGATTCTGGCCTCACAACATGAGTTTGGAAGTATTCTCTTTGCTGCTTTTGGGAAGAGTTTAAGAATGATTAGTATTAGTGTTTCTTTGAACATTAGTTAGAATTTACTCATGAAGGCTGAGCTTCACAGGTCTTTAGCTTTACTTTGTTGAGAGGTTTTACATTTTGATTCAATCTCCTTACTTGGTTTTGGTCTGTTCAGGATTTCCATCTCTTCTTGATTCATTCTTAATGAGCTATAGTTTCTAGGAATTTATTCCTAGGTTGTCCAAATTATTGGCATATAACTGTTCACAATAGTTGCTTAAGATCCTTATTTCTGAGGCACCCATTGTAATGTCTCATCCATTGTAATGTTTCATGTCCGATTTTATTTATTTGAGTCTTCTCTCTTTTTTTCTTAGTTTAGCCAAGGGTTTGTCAAATTTGTTTATCTTTTCAAAAAACCAACTCTTGGTTCATTGATCATTTCTATTGTTTTACTATTCCCTATTTCATTTATTTCTGGTCTAATCTTTATTTTTTCCTTTCTTCTGCTAACTTTGAGCATAGTTTGTTCTTCTTTTTCTAGTTCCTTGAGGTATAAAGTTAGGTTGTTTATTTAAAATCTTCCTTCTTTTTAAATTAAAGCATGTATTACCATAAACTTATTTCTTAGTGCTGCTTTTGCAGCATCCCCTAAGTTTTGGTATGTTGTGTTTTTGTTTTCATTTGTTTTATATATATATATATATATATATATATATATATATATATATATATAAAACAAATATATATATATATAACAAATATATATATAATAACAAATATATATATGACATATATATAAAACATATATATATATATATATATATATATATACTTTTTTTTGAGACAGAGTCTCACTTTGTCTCTCAGGCTGGAGTGTAGGGGTATGATCATGGCTTACTGCAACCCTGACCTCCCAGGCTGAAGTGATCCTCCTGCCTAAGGCTCCTGAGTAGCTGGGACCACAGGTGCATGCCACTATGTCCAGATGATTTTTAAATATTTTTATAGAGACGAGGTCTCACTATGTTCCCCAGGATGGTCTCAAACTCCTGGGCTCAAATGATCCTCCTGCCTCAGCCTTCCACAATGCTGGGATCACAGGCATGTGCCACTGTGCCCGGCCTGTCTTACGATATTTTTAAAATTCCCTTTTGATTCTTTTTGACCCAATGGTTGTTCAAGCATGTATTTTTTCGTTTCCACACACTTGTGAATTTTCCCATTTTCTTATTGTTATTGATTTCTAGTTTTATTCTGTTGTGATTAGAAAAGGTACTTGATATGATTATTTGTTAAGGCATTAAATTTATTGGCATTAAATTTGTTAAGATCGATTTTGTGACCTAATATGTGATCTATCTTGGAGAATGTTCTGTGTGTGCTTGAGAAGAATATGTATTCTGCTGTTGGGTAGAAAGTCCTGTATATGACTATATTAGGTTAATTTGGTCTATAGTGTTCCTCAAGTCACCTGTTTCTTTACTGATTTTTATGTCTGGATGCTGTATCTATTATTGAAAATGTGCTATTGAAGTCTCCTACTATTATTGTACTGTTTATCTACTTCTCCCTTCATACCTGTCAATGTTAGGTGGTCTGATGTTGGGTGCATTATGTATTTACAATTGATGGATTGATCCTTTCATCATTATATAATGAGTTTCTTTGTCTCTAGAGACAGCTTTTGACTTAAAGTGTAATATATATGTATATATATGTAAAACATATATTACACACGCACATATACACATGTATATACATATACACAGACATATACACATATATACATGTGTGTGTATGTGTGTGTGTGTGTGTGTGTGTGTGTGTGTGTGTGTAGCCACCCCTTCTTTATTTTGGTTACCATTTGCATAGAATATCTTTTCCGTCCCTTCATTTTCAGCCTATGTGTGTCCTTAAATCTAAAATGAGTTTCTTATAAACTGTATATTGCTAGATCTTGATTTTTAAAAATCAAGTTACTCTATGCCTTTTGATTGGGGGAGTTTAACTCATTTATATTTAAAGTAATTTCTGATAGATGAGGACTTAATATTGCCATTTTGTTAATTGTTTTCTGGTCTCCAGTTCTTTTGTTCCTCTCTTCCTCTCTTGCTGTCTTCTTTTGTTATTTGAAGTTTTTTTAGTAGTAATTTGTTTTGATTCTTTGCTTTTTATCTTTTGCATATCTATTATTGGATTTTTTTCTGTGGTTACCGCAAGACTTGCATAAAATATTTTGTAGCTATAACCATCTGCTTTAAGTTGTTAACAACTTAGCTTCAAATTGGATACTAAATCTCTACACTTTTATTCCCTCCACCCCACTTTGTGTTCTTGAGGTCAGAGTTTCTGTCTTTTTATGTTGTTTATTCATTAACAATTTTTTGTATTGTAGTCATTCTTAACATTTTTGTCTTTTAACTTTTATATTAGTGTTAAAAGTAATTTACACACTGCTACTATGGTATAACATTATTCTGCATTTGCATGTTTACCTTTACAAGTGAGATTTATGCTTTCATATGTTTTCACATTGCTCTTTAGCATGGTTTCCTTTCAATTTGATGAATTCCCTTAAGAATTGCTTGTAAGGCAGGTGTAGTGATGATGAACTCCCTCAATCTTTGTTTGTCTGGGAAAGGCTTTATTGTGTTTTCATTTTAAGTAATAGTTTTGATGGGTATAGTATTCTTGGATAGCAGAGTTTTTTTCCCCAGTACTTTGAATACATTATCACATTCTTTCCTGGGATCCAAAATTTTTGCTGAGAAATTCACTGATAATTGTATATAGGAGTTCCTTTCTATGTGATGTCATTTTTCTCTAGCTGCTCTCAAAATTTTCTCTGCATCTTTGATTTTGACTATTTAATTATAATATGTCTCATTGTAGACATCTTTATGTTCAATCTATTTGATATCCTTTAGGCTTTTTAGCTCTGAGGTCTATTTCCTTTAGATTTTGGAAGTTTCAGACATTATTTATTTAAAGAAGCCTTTCTGCTCCTTTCTTTCTCCTGTCTCCTTCTGGAATTTACATAATGCATATATTGGTTTGTTTGATGGTGTCCCATAAGTCCCCACAGACTTTCTTCACTCTTTTTCATTTCTTTCCTTTTTCCCCCTTGTATAGTTCCAAATGACCTATTTTCATGTTCACTGATTCTTTCTTCTCCTTGATCAAGCTTGCTGTTGTAGCCTTTTATTGCCTTTTTCATTTCAGTCATTGTATTATTTCAGCTCCAGATTTTGGGGGAGTTTCTTTTTGTGTGTGAGATTGCTATCTGTTTGTTGAACTTCTGATTTTCTTCATGTATTGGTTTCCTGATTTGGTTTAGTTGTATATCTGTTGTCTGTAACTTGCTGAGCTTTTAAATAATTGTTTATAATTCTTTTCAGGCAATTTACAGATCTCCATTTCCTGGGGATTTGCTAGTGAAAATTCATTGTGATCCTTTTGTTATGTCATGTTTCCCTGATTTTTTTGTGTGTGTTCCTTGTAGGCTTGTGTTGATATCTACAAATCTGAAGAAGCAGTCATTCTTCCTGACTTTACAGGCTGGCATCAGTAGGGAAAGACCTTCACCAGTGGGTGGGTGTAAGGACTTTGGCTAGGTGGGGTGTGTGGTGGTGCTGAGTTCAGGGACACTAGGAGGCCACGTGTGGGCACTAGATTGAGTAGGACACAGAAATACTGGTTTTGGGGTCCATAGTTGTGTGCTCTTTGGCACCACTGAATCTGGGTGTGTGTGAGGATGACAGCTCCAGTGGGGACGTGGTGGCACCTAGTCTTGAAGGTGCATGCATGGTGGCACTGGCTGGTGGAGAGATAAAAGTGGTATTGGATCTTGGGGACATTTGGTGGCATTGGCAGAGCAGCGCCCGGGTGGCTCTGGTTTCAGGGATGTGCAATGTCATTGGCTCTGGGTGCCTCCAGCAGTTGTGTTCTGCATTGTGAAGACTGTGGGTGTCCTCAACAGCAAAGGCTGCAGAGGTCCACAGTGGAGGCAAGAGCAATTGTGGTCCTAGATGCTAAAGGGTGCTTGCATCCTCCTGCTTTTCTTTTATCCTATTCATCTTTGGATAGTTATTTAATTATTGTTTGTGGGGCAGGAGGATGAAGGCTGGTACTTCTTAGTCTGCCATCTGGTTGCCATCATTATCTGATTAAGTATTGACTATTTTTTCCTACTTTATTGCTTGCTTTTCTTTTCAATTTTATTTGTAAAAATTATTCAGGCATTTTATAAGTGAATCCTTTGTCAGGTATGTGAATTGAAAATACATTTTACCACTCTGTGACTTATCTTTCAACTTTCCTAATGAAATATTTTGATGAGTAGAAATTCATAATTACAATATATTATGGTTTATTATTATTTTTCTATGATTAGCATTACTTTGTCCTATTAAGAAATGTTAACCTATCCTGGGGTTGTAGATATATTCTTTTATTAACTTTTATAGTCATCTGGAGCTAGTTTTCTTTTCTTGGTATAGTATGAGCTAAGGGTCTCTATGTTAGTTTTATGTTGCTGTATAACCAATCACCATAAATTTAACGGCTTGAAACAACACGTATTTTATGACCTCAGAGTTTCCATGGGTCAGGAGTCTGGCCATGGCTTAGCTGTGTCCTTCACTCAGGGTCTCACAAAGCTGAGATCAAGCTGTTAACTAGACTGGGAGGTCTCATGTGAGGCTTGAGTTGTTTTCCATGCTCACATAGTTGTTAGCCGAATTCATTTTCTTTTGGTTGCAGAATTCATGGCAGCTTGTTTCTTCAAAGCTACCAAGGGAAAGAGAAATATTTTACTGCTTAAAGTTTTTCACTCTAGAAACTATGGTAAGGGACTCTTTTGATTAGGTGAGACCTGCCCAGGATAATTTGCCTTTTTATTAAAGGGAGATTCTATTGTCTTTCTTAAAATAAACTGATTAGAAACTTTAATTACATTGAAAAAAAATCCCTTGCCTTTGCCATATTCTATTGGTTACAAGCAAGTTACAGGTCTTTCCACCACTCAGGGGGAGAGGAATTTGTAAAGGCATGGATTCCAGGGGCATGAATCACTGGGGACCATCTTAGTATTCTGCCTACCATAATCCATTTTTTCTCAATGTATATAATTGACTCAGGCCTATTTATTGAAGACAAGAGAATATCATTTTCCTCACTGTACTGTAGGGTCACTTTGTCATAACCATATGTATGTGGGTCTGTATCTGCACAATAATTTGTTCTATTGATCTTCTTTTCTGCCTTTGTGCCAATGCCCATATTGTTTAATGACTGTAGCTTTACCACATTCTTGATATCTTATAATATAAGTCTCTAAGCTTTGTTCTTCCTCAGTATTACATTGACAATTCTTGGCTCTCTACATTTCCATACAAATCCTAGAATCAATTGGTTAATTTCCCAACCTGCCAAGATTTTGAGGAGGGGAGAAATTTTTTTGCCTTTATTAATAAATTTTGAAAAAATTTAAATTTTAACAATACCAGATTTTCTAATCTATAAACATGATATAGCTTTTTTATTTATATTTAAAAATTTTGTTCAATAATGTTTTATAAATTTCAGTATAGAGGTTCATATGCAATTTTCTTTTATTTATTCCTAGATATTTGACGGTTTTAAAAATGCTATGATAAGTGTCATGATTAAAAATTTTTTTTAGTTTATTGTTGATATTTAGAAGTAAAACTGGTTTTTATATATATCTTACATTATTTCTAAATATATTATTTCTAATTGACAAAAGATCTGTAGAACTTTTCAGAAATACTACATATAAAATGATATAATTTTGAATGACAGTTTTTATTTTTTGCTGTCGTACAATTCTTAATTTATTTCTTTTTCTGGCTTTATTGTACTGGCTAGGTCTTCCATTCTAATGTTGAATAAAAGTGGTGAGGGCACCCATATTTATCTTATTACCAATCACAGGGGAAATTTTTCAGTAATTCACTATTAATTATAATATATTTTCTGTGAAATTTTTTATTTTGTAGTTTCTCTTATCAGGATGAAACATGTAAGAACTATATTTGATGGCAGAAACCCATTATAAACATAAAGACACAAGTTAAAAGTAAAATAGTGGAAAATGTTATATTATGTGAACTCTAATTAAAAGAAAGTTAAATTGCCTATAATAATATGAGACAGAGATTGTAGGGCAAAGAATATTACCAGGGATAAAGAGAGAAATGCCATAATAATAAGGACATAAACTCCTTAAGAGGATATAACAATTCTGAATATGTATATGCCTAAAACCAGCTTCAAAATACTTGAAGAAAAATGGATAGAATTGCATGGAGAAATAGACAAATCCACAATTATATATGAAGCACTAATAATCATTTCCAATAATTGATAAAACACATAAAGAGAAGATCAGTAGGTATATAAAATATTTAACATCATCAAGCAACTATTCATAATTACATTTATAAAAGACTCCACCCAAACAGCAGAATATGCATTTTAAAGGATGCACATAAAACATTCACCAGGCCGGGCGCGGTGGCTCACGCCTGTAATCCCAGCACTTTGGGAGGCCGAGGCGGGCGGATCACGAGGTCAGGAGATCGAGACCATCCCGGCTAAAACGGTGAAACCCCGTCTCTACTAAAAATACAAAAAAAAATTAGCCGGGCGTAGTGGCGGGCGCCTGTAGTCCCAGCTACTTGGGAGGCTGAGGCAGGAGAATGGCGTGAACCCAGGAGGCAGAGCTTGCAGTGAGCCAAGATCCCACCACTGCACTGCAGCCTGGGCGACAGAGTGAGACTCTGTCTCAAAAAAAAAAAAAAAAAAAAAAAAAAAAAAAAAAAAAAAATTCACCAATATGGGCTGTATTCTGAGCCATAAAACAAATTTCAATACATTTAAAAGAATTCAAATCATACAAAGCAAGTTCTTTTTATTCAATGGGATTAAACTACATTCCAATCACCAAAAAAATGGAAATTTCCCAAATACATAAAAACAACATAGTACGGTTATAAATAACTCATGGACAAAGATGAAATCAATAGAAAAAATGTAAAATATTTTAACTGAATTAAAGTGAAAACATAGTATATCAAAACTTGTGAGATGTAGTTAAAGTACTACTTAGCAGGAAATTGACGGCATTACGTATTTAAATTAGAAAAGGAAGAAGCTGTCAAATAAATGACCTCATCTTCAATCTGAAAGAAACTACAAGAGCACATGAAATATGAAGTATGCTGAAAACAAGAAATAATAAATATCTAACCTGAAACAATGACATAGAAAACCTAAGAACAAGAGACAATATCAATGAAACCTAAACCTACTTCTTTGAGAAGATCAATAAAATTGATAAAATCTACCCAGACTGAGCAGGGAAAAAAAAAATAAAAGCACAGTTACTAAAATCAGGAACACGAGATGTGAAATCCCAATAGTTTCAACAGATATCAAAAGCAAAATAAGGGAATACTTCAAGCAATCTTACTTCAGTAAATTTTACATGTAGAAGATAGATACAGGCAAATTCCTGGAAAGATCTAAGCTACCAAATATCAGTGAAGTAGAAATAGCTAACCTAAACATTGCAATATCTATTTACAAAATTGAATTTGTAGTTAAAAATCTGCACAGAAAGAAAACTTCAGCACAGTTGGCTTCAATAGTGAATTCTACTAAACATTTAAGGAAATAATAATAACACCAATTCCACAGAAATTCTTCCATTAAAACCTGGAGGCATCATGCTACCTGACTTCAAACTATATGACAAGGCTACAGTAACCAAAACAGCCTGGTACTGGTACCAAAACAGAGATATAGATCAATGGAATAGAACAGAGCCCTCAGAAATAACGCCGCATATCTACAACCATCTGATCTTTGACAAACCTGAGAAAAACAAGCAATGGGGAAAGGATTCCCTATTTAATAAATGGTGCTGGGAAAACTGGCTAGCCGTATGTAGAAAGCTGAAACTGGATCCCTTTTTTTACACCTTATACAAAAATTAATTCAAGATGGATTAAAGACTTAAGCGTTAGACCTAAAACCATAAAAACCCTAGAAGAAAACCTAGGCATTACCATTCAGGACATAGGCACAGGCAAGGACTTCATGTCTAAAACACCAAAAGCAATGGCAACAAAAGCCAAAATTGACAAATGGGATCTAATTAAACTAAAGAGCTTCTGCACAGCAAAAGAAACTACCATCAGAGTGAACAGGCAACCTACAAAATGGGAGAAAATTTTCGCAACCTACTCATCTGACAAAGGGCTAATATCCAGAATCTACAATGAACTCAAACAAATGTACAAGAAAAAAACAAACAACCCCATCAAAAAGTGGGCAAAGGACATGAACAGACACTTCTCAAAAGAAGACATTTATGCAGCCAAAAAACACATGAAAAAATGCTCACCATCACTGGCCATCAGAGAAATGCAAATCAAAACCACAATGAGATATCATCTCACACCAGTTAGAATGGCAATCATTAAAAAGTCAGGAAACAACAGGTGCTGGAGAGGATGTGGAGAAATAGGAACACTTTTACACTGTTGGTGGGACTCTAAACTAGTTCAACCATTGTGGAAGTCAGTGTGGCGATTCCTCAGGGATCTAGAACTAGAAATACCATTTGACCCAGCCATCCCATTACTGGGTATATACCCAAAGGACTATAAATCATGCTGCTATAAAGACACATGCACACGTATGTTTATTGAGGCACTATTCACAATAGCAAAGACTTGAAACCAACCCAAATGTCCAACAATGATAGACTGGATTAAGAAAATGTGGCACATATACACCATGGAATACTATGCAGCCATAAAAAATGATGAGTTCATGTCCTTTTTAGGGACATGGATGAAATTGGAAATCGTCATTCTCAGTAAACTATCGCAAGAACAAAAAACCAAACACCGCATATTCTCACTCATAGGTGGGAATTGAACAATGAGAACACATGGACACAGGAAGGGGAACATCACACTCTGGGTACTGTTGTGGGGTGGGGGGAGAGGGGAGGGATAGCATTGGGAGATATACCTAATGCTAGATGACGAGTTAGTGGGTGCGGCACACCAGCATGGCACATGTATACGTATGTAATTAACCTGCACATTGTGCACATGTACCCTAAAACTTAAAGTATAATTAAAAAAAAAAAAACGAAGTGGAGGGACTATTTTCCAAGCCATTCCATGAGGCCAACCTTCCCCTGATGCCAAAAGCAGAAAAAAAAAAAAAAATCACAAGTAAAGAAAACTGCAGAAAAGTATCACTCCTGAACATAAACTCTAAAATTCCTAATAAAATTTTAGCAAATTATCCCAACATATAAAAGGATTATATATCATAACAAAGCAGAGTTTATTCCAAACATGGCAGGTTACTTTAACATCCTCAAAATGTTATATATAACACCTTACACATGATCCAGCTATTTCACCCAGAGATATGAAAGCACATGTCTGTACAAAGATTGGTACACCAATGTTCTTTGTCTGTAATAGTAAAAAACTAGAAACAACCCAAAGATCATCAACAGGGGAATGGATAAAAATTTGTATCTGCATCTAATAGAATGTTATTCAGTGACAATGAATTCCCTAAATTCCACTTCCAGCAACTACAGCAATATGTGCCCAGCATTATCTGGAACAAGGCTATTGGCCATGCATACTCTAGTCTAGAAGACTGGGCTTCCAACTGGGATTTATAGTTGGATTCAACAGCTCAGCCAGATGTGTAAGCCAAGGTTGCTGGAGAGTAAGGGAGTCAATAGAGGTGTTATGGCTGTGGGTAGCATAATAACATAGTAGAAAAAAGAGAAAATTGTCAGTGAAAATAAATCAAACCTGGAAGGAAAAGATTCCTGCTGAGTAGTACCTAGAGCTATAAGAGATGCAGGTCAGTCACTAGAACTTAACTTCATCAGAAATATACATACCTAAAGCCAGAAAAAAATAGGGTTCTAACACACTACATATGAGGAAATCAGTTTCCTAAAACAAAAAACCCTTATCGACACATAATGCTAATCCTATTTTTAAACCTAGCAGATTATGATCATTGTTTTAACATCTTACCCAGTTATGGAGAAGCATCTTAACCATTGGGAAGCACATGCTGGAGAATCCACAAATCAAAAATGTAGCTATTGGCTTTGTTGTATTGGTGAAATATTAGCTGGAGATATCAATTAGCTCTGAGTGGCTTGATCTGAATTTGGAAAGAAAAGATAATCCAGGCCAAGATGGTGGCGGTATGTACTCCTGTTGTTTGTTTTATTGTAGCTCGGCCATCCATCAGCATTCTAGAGCAACTCAATGGTACCAGAGTGTGGCTTACTTAGGAGATGGCTAGATAGGTGGGTGCTCATGGATCATTGCTGGGAAATGAAGAGGGGCAGACTTAGAGCCCAGGCCCTCAGTCCTAAGGTGACTATCGAATGTATTTTTTTATACCTAATGTTAATTTTTGAAAGCCTAAGTGGAAAGTCTGACCATTTATTTAATAACATCAATTCTTAGAAGATTAAGGCACTTACATGAAGTTGGAACTAACTAAAATAGTAAGCGGAAAAGTTTCTAAGAGCATATAAAAGTTTCTTGATTTTGGGAACTTTATATTAGAGCTGAAAAATTAAGGTTGATAAAGTGAATCTTGCAGTTCCCAAATTTCCAGAACACTGAGAAACGCACCACAGAACATCTATGTAGGTTATCGTATCTTTTTCTTTCAAGGACTTTTTGATTATTCAAATAATGAAGTAGCCATCCCTTTCTTTCAAAGTTTTACCATAATAAAGACATCCAGTGACAATAGAGTATTCTCTTTGTTTAAAACTCTATTGGGCGGGAAGGGGAAAACTATAAAACACACTTTTGAACATTTGCAGAGACTGGGCATTAGATGATATTTAGGAAGTACTGTCAACATTCTGCACGATAATAGTATGGCTATGTAGGAAAACCTGCTCATTCTTAGGTGATGTACAGTACTCCCTCTTTATCTCTTTGTCTGCAGTTTTGCTTTCCACAGTTTGTTACCAATGGTCAACCATGGTCCAAAAATATTAAGTGGAAAATTCCAGAAACAATCAACTCCTAAGTTTTAAATTGCACACTGTTCTGGGTGGTGAGATGAAATCTCATGTTGTCCTGCTCTGTCCAGCTCAGAATGTGAATCACCCCTCTGTCCAGCATATCCATCCTGTCTGCACTCCCCATTTGTCAGTAGCTGTCTGGATTATCAGATCGACCATTGCGTATCACCATGCTTGTGTTCAAGTCACCTTATTTTAGTTCATAATGGCCCCAAAGCACAAGAGTAGTGATGCTGGCAATTCAGATATGCCAAAAAGAAGCCATAAAATGCTTCCTTTAAGTGAAAAGGTGAATGTGTTTGACTCAAGGATAGAAAAAGAATCATATTCTGAGGTTACAAAGGTCTATGGTGAGACTGAATTTTCTGTCTCTGAACCTGTGAGCAGTATATTGTTATACTTGTTCTATTTTATTATTATTTATTGTTGTTAATCTTTTATTGTGCCTAATTTATAAATTAAACTTTATCTTAATATGCGTGTATATGAAAAAAGCCAATGTATATAGAGTTTGTTACTATCTGCAGTTTTGGGCATCCACTTGGGGTCATGAATGTACCTCCCATGGATAAGGAGGGACTACTGTATGCTGAAGTTTTAGACATGAAGTGTTGAAATGTCTACAAGTTACCTACAAATGGCTCAACCTATGTATACTTATCCTTATGTATATATATTATTTTAAATTATAGAAAAATGCTAACAATTATTAAACAAAGGTAGTAGATTTGTAGGTGTTCACTGTATCCTTATTTTAACTTTCTGGATATTTGAACATTTTTTATAATAAAATGTTGAGCTTGAGGTGTTGGCTCATGCCTGTAATCCCAGCTACATGAGAGGCTGAGGTGGGAGGATTGCTTGAGTCCAGTCCAGGAGTTTGAGAACAGCCTGGGGCAACATAGTGAGACCCCCATCTCAAAACAATTAAATAAAATATTGAAAAAAGAGAAATTTACAAAAGAAAATACTAGGAAAGATAAGCCTCATTAACCAGTATATTTGGAAATATTACCTGATGGACTTTCTTTTCCGTCATTTTCTGACCTCCTTATTCCACAGTCATTTTCCTACTAAGACTAAGTCAAGGGCTGAAATTTATTGGTCTATGGAATGGGGAAGATAAATACAGCTGAGACAAAGAGGTCACTATTCAACTTTGACTTTCAAAATAGAGTTGTTTTTTTTTAATACTGATGCCAAAACAATACAATAGAAAACAAAGACTTTATTTGAAAGAGCCATGCTTTGTTGGTGGTGGGATGGTGTTCAAAGGGCCATAGCTCAGAGGGTTTATGTGGGAGTTATATTCTTACTAATAGAAAAGGAGATTACCTTTTCCAGCATTATTGTGGGTTAAATAAGTTAAACTTTTTTCTATTAAAAAAACTAGAAATGCTCATTAAACTGAAATATCCTTTTAAATGCTTAGATGATCCTACAAAAATTAAGGCATATACTCATGAGCTTAAAAGAAGAAGGAATTAAAAACTAGGGCCATAAGCACCTGAACCTTATTTATTGCTGATTCTCTGCAGTGTTTGCTGGTCTAAGTAACATAAGGCTTGTGTTTTAGTAGCATCTTATGAGAAAATGAGATCTTGGGCCATCAGGAGACATGGGGTTAGAACTAATATCAGGTTACTTGAAGGGCTCCATCTTCAGTAAAATATTTGACAAAATCTAGCTCTTAGCAAGGAAGTATGAGTAAATGAATCTATTTTGTCTTGAGATCTGAGTGGGAAAAAAACCTTCCCTGATAATTCATAACCGGAGTCCTATCTTGACACAAGATTGGGAAATAAATTTATATCATTTGCAAAGTCTAGAACCAAGTCCAAACATTAACCTAAAAGTGGCCCTGTGATATAATATCCTTATTGCTTTTGCCAAAAGCAAATTCAAAACCACTCTGGAGGGAGTGGCCTCGTGGGATTTGCACAAAATCAGACAAACATGACCTCACAGTCCAAACATATAAAACGTGATATAATCTTTGATGAATAGGAGAGAGAAGAAAAACCTCCATATTTGACCCCCCAATAATTTAAGAAAATGGAATTATTAGATAGACTCTAAAATGAACATGAGTAACATCATTTAGGAAACAAAAGGATTGAAATATATGAGAAAAGAAATAGATATAAGCAAAGATTAGACAGATATGAAAAAGACAAGTATAACTTCTAGAAATAAAATACATAGTCATTGGAATTAGAAAGTGGTGAGTGCTGTTGATAAGTCTGAAGTGAATAGCAGGAGCAACTGGTAAATGTCTCTACAGGCTCATGCCCCCAGCTCAGCTACCCTCAGTTCCCGCAGAATAGCAGGAGCAACTGGTAAACCTCTCTACAGGCTCATGCCCCCAGCTCAGCTACCCTTGGTTCCCACAGATAAATTTTGCTAAGGAGAAGATCACAATCAAAATTATGAAACAAAAGAATAAACCATGCACTTTGAGAATGTCATCAGACCAAATAAAAAAAAAACCCACAGAAATTTTAAAATTAACATGTTGACAATCATTAGACAGAAAATAAATAATTAAAAGTGATAAAATAATTATTACTGATCAAATATAGCAAATCTTAAAAAGACAAAATATAACTTCTAAAAATTAAAAATGATCATTACAGTTTTTAAAATAATAGGAGGTTAAATAGCCAAAAAGAGATTAGCGAACTAGAAGATAAAGCTCATGAATTTACTGAGAATGCTTCCTGCAAAGATAAAAAAAGCTTACATTTAGAATGTGTATAGAAAAAAAAGATAAAGAAAAGGAATGTATAAAAGACATGGAAGTGGAGAGAGAAGGTATACTATGTGTCTAACTGGAACTCTAAAGAGAGATAATGAAGAAGATGAGGGAAAGATAGTAGGCAAAGAGTCTTCTGAGAGACAATGTTTCAGAATTGATGAAAAATATTAACCTAAAGACCCAGCAATCATAAGCCCAGGTTGTGAATAAAACTAAATCCACACCTAGACAGATGATGAAACTTCCAAACTACAACCATAAAGAAAAGATATTTTTCAAAAGCAGAGAAAAAAGACAACTTACAAAGGAAGAAAAAATAAACTCTAAGTAGGCTTCTCAAAAGCAAGAATAGAAACTAGAAGGCAATAGAACAATATCTGTAAAATAGTGAGATAAACTAACAATGCACCTGAATCCACCACTGATAGAACCTTGTTGAAAGAACCAACAAATGATTTAGTCAAGAAAGAAATGGAGCCTAGAAGCACAGAGTGAGGTACAGGATGTATTCTTAAGCAAATAAATTAGTCAGCAGGTGGGTAACCTGGGCATATTAAACAATAATAAAAATGTTGACAAACTCACAAGAAGACATTTCTCTATATGTTAAAGTATAACTGTCTGAGTCCATTTTGTGCTGCTGTAACAGAATATCTCGGACTGGGTAATTTATGTCACAAACTGGCTCATGGTTCCAGAGGCTGAGAGTCCAAGATTGAGGGCCTGGCATCTGGTGAGAGCCTTCTTGCTGCATCATAACATGGTGGAGGGCATCACATAGGAGAAAGAGAGAGAGCAAGTGAGGGCCAAACTCATCCTCTTATAAGGAACTTACTCCTGGGATAATGGTATGAATCTCTTAATGAGGGCAGAGCCCTCATGGCCTAACACTTCTTAAAGATTTCACCTCTTAACACTGTGGTATTGGGGGTTGACTTTCCAACACATGATTTTTGGGAGACACATTCAAACCATACCAATAACCTTGCACTGTTTTATTGAAATGGGCACTACAATATAAATCTTAAGCCTTACCACAATTATACAACCTTTCCCTTGAACAAACACAGATGGTGGGTATCTCTAATAATCCTCAGATTGTTGCCATGTCCCAGCCCATGACTGGGCTCAATCTCAGACTTTCAACCAAGAAACATACTTTCATCTTTTATAATATCATATCTGATTACATGATAGGGAAAACAAGATTGCCAGATTATTTAAACATAGATATCTGTGGTTACGGCTAATTGATCACAGTCTCCAAAAATTAAGTAGATAGGTGTGGCTTGACATATATAGGAAGAAATATTTTTAGTTTACTGAGTAGACAGGCATCTAATATGAGGATCCGTGGAAGAAATTCACAGCTTCTTTTTTTTCTTTTTAAAAATTTCAATACTTTTGGGGGTACAGGTGTTTTTTGGTGACATGGATAAATTGCATAAGGGTGAAGTCTGAGATTTTAGTGCACTCATCACCCAAATTGGTACATTGTACCCAATATGTAGTTTTCTTTATCCCTCATCTTCTTCCCATCCTCTCCTATTCTGAGTCTCCAAAGTCCATTGTACCACTCTGCATGCACTTGTGCACCCATAGCTTAGCTCCCATTCGTAAGTGACAATATATAGTATTTGGTTTTCCATTCCTGAGTTACTTCATGTAGAATAATGGCCTCCAGCTCCATCCAAGTTGCTGCTAAAGGCATTATTTTATTCTTTTTTAATGGTTGAGTAGTATTCCATGGTGTATTTATACCACAGTTTCTTTATCCACTCATCAGTTGATGAGCACTTATGCTGGTTCTATATCTATGCAGTTGGGAATTGCGCTGTGATAAACATACATATGCAGGTGTCTTTTTGATAGGAATTGCACTGAATCTGTAGATTGCTTTGAGCAGTATCGTCATTTTCATGATATTGATTCTTCCAATCCATGAGCATGGGATGTTTTTCTGTTTGTTTGTGTCATCTATGATTTCTTTCAGCAGTATTTTGTAGTTCTCCTTGTAGAGATTTTTAATCTCTTTGGTTAAGTATATTCCTAGATATTTTATTTTTTTTGCGGCTATTGTAAAAGAAATTGAGTTCTTGATGTGAGTCTCAGCTTGGACATTCTTAGTGTATAGCAGTGCTACTGATTTGTGTGCATTGATTTTATAATCTGAGACTTTACTGAATTCATTGATCAAATCTAGGAGTCTTTTGGAGGAGTTTTCTAGGTGTACAATCAAATCATTGGCAAACAGAGATCCTTTGACTTCTTCTTTTCCAATTTGGATGCCCCTTATTTCTTTCTCTTGCCTGATTGCTCTGCATAATCTCTTCCAGAGTAAAAACAGAGAATACACTTTTCAATTCATTTTATTAGTATTGGATGTCTCAATACCAAGACTAGACAAAGATATTATAAGAAAGAAAACTGCAGATATAAACAGTTGAAGATAAAAATCTTCAAGAAAACATTAACAAATCAAATCCAGCAAAACATAAAAAGGATAATATATCCCAACCAAGTGGGGTTTATTGCAGGAATATATGACTGGTTCAACATCATAAATCAAGCAATGGACTGCGTGCAGTGGCTCACGCCTGTAATCCCAGTAAGTGGTGCTGAAAAATTGGGCATACATGTGAAAACAAAAAAGAGTCTTAGTCTGCACCTTACGCTGCATAAAAATGTGAATCAAAAATGATTAATAGACTAAATGCAAAATCTAAAATCATAACACTTCTATAATAGAAAATTCCCTAAGAGAAAACTTTCACGATGTGGGTTAGGCAAAGAATTTGTAGACATGACACCAAAAGCTTATGTAAAAGAAAAAAATTCGATAAACTGGACTTTATATTAAAATGTAACATTTTGCTCTGAGAAAGACACTATTAAATATTTGAAAAATAGAAGGCATAGATTGGGGGAAAATATTTGCTAATCACATTTCTGACTAAAAGCTGCATTCGGAATATAGGGAATATTTAAAACTCAACAATAAGACAACAACCTAATTTTACGAAATGGACAGAACGTCTGAACCTTCACCAAAGAAGGAATTTTGGATGGAAAATAAGTATATGAAAATGGGCTCAGAATCACTAAAAATTAGGGGAAATAAAATAAGATACCAGTATGCATCTATAAGACTGTTTACAGTTATCTCTGAATATCATGTGCTGGAGAGGTTGTGGAACCAGTGGAGCTCTCCAACATTATTCGTCACGATAAAAAAGGATTTGACTACTTTAGAAAACAGTTTGGCAGTTTCTTATAAAGTTGAACACATATGGTGGACCATCAAGTGGTCCAACAATTTCACTCATAGGTACCCATTTAAGGGAGATAAAAATTTATGGTCACATAAAAATATGTACACAAATCTTCATAGCCACTTTATAATTGTAATTGTCATTGTCAAATTGTAATTGTAATTGTCAGAACATGGAAACAATCCAGATATCTTTCAGCTGGAGAATGAATAAAAAAACTGTGATACATCTATATAATAGGAGATAACTCAGCAATATCAAGGGACAAGCTATTGATTCCCCAACAACATGGATGAATCTTAAAACCCAAAGACTATGTGTTGTTTGATTCCACGAGCAGACCTATAGGGAGAAAAACACATCAGCAGGAGCAGGGGTTGGGGGTGAGGGGAAGGGGTTTTGTATAAAAAGGAAGCATGGGGAATTCAAGAGGAGGTGGATGTGTGATGGAAATGTTCTCTATAGAATCGTGACGCTATGCATGTGTCAAAACCCATCAAACTGTATGCCATAAAAGTGAATTTTACTGCATGTAAGTTAAAAATCTCAGCCAGGATATGGGAACAATATGGAAAGCCGGCTGTGTGTGACAAAGCGGCTCAGAATGTACTATGAATGAATCACATAACCGATACGGAGGGAGGTGGGGAAGTCAGGGTTTAAACTGAATGGATGCTGTAAGACTCAAGACAAAAGAACTGTATATAAACACTGTACTTGAGAAATTTGTTTTTTTTAAATTTTTAATTTTTCTGGCTATATAGTAGGTGTATATATTTATGGGGTATTTGGGATATTTTGCTACATGCATACAATGTGTAATAATCACTGTTTAGTGATTGGCTGACCCTTAGTTTTAGGAACATGGTTACCAGTGTGCATCTGTTGCTGACTTTAAAAATGCAATTATTAAAGTGAAGCTGTTTCCAATTGGCTGACTTTCAGAATTCTGAGCTGTCATTGATTGACTAGGTTTCAGAAACATGTTTATTGAAATGAATTGTCATTGATTGATTACGTAAATTTAAACTCAGCTGGGTAGTTACTTATTATAATAGCTAGCAAATAACTAGTCTTCTCATAGAAGTGTAAGAACTTTTTTTCTCAACAGCATATTCTCTAATATGAACCTGGATGTAATCTCAATGTCTACATAATATGCAAATGGTTAAGTAATTATGGTGAAGACATAATGGAATATTATGCAGTTAATAACCATTATTAATGTCGCATAGCTGCATAGTAAAAGATTTATAATGTAAGGGTACATTTAAAAAGATTTTAAATAGAATTTTCTTGTTTATGGCAACTATTTGAAAAATATGCGTGTGTGTGTGTGTAAAGGGATCAATTCATAGAATGATGAATAACTCTTAATGCTTTACATGTTTTTATATTTTATATGTATATATGTGTGTGAACACAAACATGTTTTAAAATAAAGATTAAAAAAGCAATTTAATAATTCAACAGATAACAGGAAGGTTTGAAATGTAATAGGAGATGTTGAAGACCAATATGCCTTTAAGACACAAATGAACTCATCTTATTAGAGGCCATAAAAGTGGAAGAAACACTGAACTTGGAATTTATGTCTTCATTTGAGTCTTTCCTGAATCACATTATTATTTATCTGACCTTGGGCGAACCATTTGTCCTTTGTGAGCTTCATTTGCCCGCCTTTAAAATATGACGAACAATCATATGCTTCATAGGTTAAGAGAATTAGATGAGACTCCTGTTATGAAAATGCTTTGTCTTGGAAATGCGGGCTCTTTTTTGGTTCCATATGAACTTTAAAGTAGTTTTTTCCAATTCTGTGAAGAAAGTCATTGGTAGCTTGATGGGGATGGCATTGAATCTATAAATTACCTTGGGCAGTATGGCCATTTTCACAATATCGATTCTTCCTATCCATGAGCATGGAATGTTCTTCCATTTGTTTGTGTCCTCTTTTATTTCGTTGAGCAGTGGTTTATAGTTCTCCTTGAAGAGGTCCTTCACATCCCTTGTAAGTTGGATTCCTAGGTATTTTATTGTCTTTGAAGCAATTGTGAATGGGAGTTCACTCATGATTTGGCTGTTTGTCTGTTATTGGTGTATAAGAATGCTTATGATTTTTGCACATTGATTTTGTATCCTGAGACTTTGCTGAAGTTGCTTATCAGCTTAAGGAGATTTTGGGCTGAGATGATGGGGTTTTCTAAAAATACAATCATGTCATCTGCAAACAGGGACAATTTGACTTTCTCTTTTCCTAATTGAAAACCCTTTATTTCTTTCTCTTGCCTGATTGCCCTGGCCAGAACTTCCAACACTATGTTGAATAGGAGTGGTGAGAGAGGGCATCCCTGTCTTGTGCCAGTTTTCAAAGGAAATGCTTCCAGTTTGTGCCCATTCAGTATGATATTGGCTGTGGGTTTGTCATAAATAGCTCTTATTATTTTGAGATATGTCCCATCAATACCTAATTTATTGAGAGTTTTTAGCATGAATGGCTGTTGAATTTTGTTGAAGGCCTTTTCTGAATGTATTGAGATAATCATGTGGTTTTTGTCTTTGGTTCTGTTTATATAATGGATTACCTTTATTGATTTGCGTTTGTTGAACCAGCCTTGCATCCCAGGGATGAAGCCAACTTGATCGTGGTGGATAAGCTTTTTGATGTGCTGCTGGATTCAGTTTGCCAGTATTTTATTGAGGATTTTTGCATCAGTGTTCATCAGGGGTATTGATTTAAAATTCTCTTTTCTTGTTGTGTCTCTGCCAGGCTTTGGTATCAGGATGATGTTGGCCTCATAAAATGAATTAGGGAGGATTCCCTCTTTTTCTATTGATTGGAATAGTTTCAGAAGGAATGGTACCAGCTCCTGTTTGTACCTCTGGTAGAATTCGGCTGTGAATCCATTTGGTCCTGGATGTTTTTTGGTTGGTAGGCTATTAATTATTGTGGTATGGTGCTGAGAAGAATGTATATTCTGTTGATTTGGGGTGGAGAGTTCTGTAGATGTCTATTAGCTCCGATTGGTGCAGAGCTGAGTTTAATTTCTGGATATCCTTGTTAACTTTCTGTCTTGTTGATCTGTCTAATGTTGACAGTGGGGTGTTAAAGTCTCCCATTATTATAGTGTGGAAGTCTACGTCTCTTTGTAAGTCTCTAAGGACTAGCTTTATGAATCTGGGTGCTCCTGTGTTGAGTGCATATATATTTAGGATAGTTAGCTCTTCTTGTTGAATTGATCCCTTTTCAATTATGTAATGACTTTCTTTGTCTCTTTTGATCTTTGTTGGTTTAAAGTCTGTTTTATCAGAGACTAAAATTGCAGCCTCTGCTTTTTTTTTTTGCTTTCCATTTGCTTGGTAGATCTTCCTCCATCTCTTTATTTTGAGCCTATGTGTGTCTCTGCACGTGAGATGGGTTTCCTGAGTACAGCAGGCTGATGGGTCTTGACTCTTTATCCAATTTGCCAGTCTTTTAACTGTGTCTTTTAATTGGAGCATTTAGCCCATTTACATTTAAGGTTAATATTGTTATGTGTGAATCTGATCCTGTCATTATGATGTTAGCTGGTTATTTTGCTCATTAGTTGATGCAGTTTCTTCCTAGCCTCGATGGTCTTTATAATTTGGCATGTTTTGCAGTGGCTGGTATCAGTTGTTCCTTTCCATGTTTAGTGCTTCCTTGAGGAGCTCTTGTAAGGCAGGCCTGGTGGTGACAAAATCTCTCAGCATTTGCTTGTGTAAAGGATTTTATTTTTCCTTCACTTATGAAGCTTAGTTTGGCTGGATATGAAATTCTGGGTTGAAAATTCTTTTCTTTAAGAATGTTGAGTATTGGCCCCCACTCTCTTCTGGCTTGTAGAGTTTCTGCTGAGAGATCCACTGTTAGTCTGATGGGCTTCCCTTTGTGGGTAACCTGACCTTTCTCTCTGGCTGCCCTTAACATTTTTTCCTTCATTTCAACTTTAGTGAATCTGACAATTATGTGTCTTGGAGTTGCTCTTCTCAAGGAGTATCTTTGTGGCGTTCTCTGTATTTCCGGAATTTGAATGTTGGCCTGCTTGCTAGGTTGGGAAAGTTTTCCTGGATAATATTCTGAAGAGTGTTTTCCAACTTGGTTCCATTCTCCCTGTCACTTTCGGGTACACAAATCAGACGTAGATTTGGTCTTTTCACGTAGTCCCATATTTCTTGGAGGGTTTGTTTGTTTCTTTTTACTCTTTTTCCTCTAAACTTCTCTTCTCACTTCATTTCATTCATTTGATTTTCAATCACTGATACCCTTCTTCCACTTGATCAAATCGGCTATTGAAGCTTGTGCATGCGTCATGTGGTTCTCGTGCCATGGTTTTCAGCTCCATCAGGTCATTTAAGGTCTTCTCTACACTGTTTATTCTAGTTAGCCATTCATCTAATCTTTTTTCAAGGTTTTTAGCTTCTTTGTGATGGGTTTGAACATTCTCCTTTAGCTCGGAGAAGTTTGTTATTACCGATCGTCTGAAGCCTTCTTCTCTCAACTCGTCAAAGTCATTCTCCATCCAGCTTTGTTCCATTGCTGGCGAGGAGCTGTGTTCCTTTGGAGGAAAAGAGGCACTCTGATTTTTAGAATTTTCAGCTTTTCTGCTCTGGTTTCTCCCCATCTTTGTGGTTTTTGATGATGGTGACATACAGATGGGGTTTTGGTGTGGATGTCCTTTCTGTTTGTTAGTTTTCTTTCTAACAGTTAGGACTCTCAGCTGCAGGTCTGTTGGAGTTTGCTGGAGGTCCACTCCAGACCCTGTTTGCCTGGGTATCACCGGTGGAGACTGAAGAACAGCAAATATTGCAGAACAGTAAATGTTGCTGTGTGATCCTTCTTCTGGTAGCTTCATCTCAGAGGGGCATCTGGCTGTATGAGGTGTCAGTCGGCCCCTACTGGGAGGTGTCTCCCAGTTAGGCTACTTGGGGGTCAGGGACCCACTTGAGGAGGCAGTCTGTCTGTTCTCAGATCTCAAACTCTGTGCTGGGAGAAGCACTGCTCTCTTCAAAGCTGTCAGACAGGGACGTTTAAGTCTGCAGAAGTTTCTGCTGCCTTTTGTTCAGCTATGCCCTTCCCTCAGAGGTGGAGTCTACAGAGGCAGGCAGGCCTCCTTGAGCAGCGGTGGGCTCCACCCAGTTTGAGTTTCCCAGCCGCTTTGTTTACATACTCAGGCCTCAGCAATGGTGGATGCCCATCCCCCAGGCTCACTGCCACCTTGCAGTTTGATCTCAGACTGCTGTGCTAGCAATGAGTGAGGCTCCGTGGGTGTGGGACCCTCTGAACCATGCACGGGATATAATCTCCTGGTGTGCCATTTGCTAAGGCCGTTGGAAAAGTGCAGTATTAGGGTGGGAGTGTCCCAATTTTCCAGGTACTGTTTGTCACGGCTTCCCTTTGCTAGGAAAGGGAATTCCCTGACCCCTTGTGCTTCCCAGGTGAGGTGATGCCCTGCCCTGCTCATGGGCTGCACCCACTGTCTGACAAGCCCCAGTGAGATGAACCTGGTACCTCAGTTGGAAATGCAGAAATCACCTGTCTTCTGCATTGCTCACGCTGGGAGCTGCAGACTGGAGCTGTTGCTATTTGGCCATCTTGGAACCTCCTCTTATTCACTCTTTCTAAGCATTTTTTTGTACCCATTAACTATCCCCACTTCCCCTCCCCCACTGCCTTCCCAGCCTCTGGTAATCATTATTCTACTCTCTATCTCCATGAGTTCAATTGCTTTAATTATTAGCTCCTCCAAATAAGTGAGGACATGTGAGAACATCTTTCTGTGCCTGGCTTATTTCACTTAACATAATGACTTCCCTTTCCATCCATGTTATTGCAGATGACAGTTTCATTCTTTTTTATGGCTGGGTAGTATTTACTTGATACATTTGTTTCTCATGGGAGTATGGGTTAGAAGTTTTGAAACTAATTAATTTGGATGTTAAGCTTGAACAAAATAAATGAATGAATAAATAAATAAATAAACACATTGTAAATGATCAAAGCTAGGTTTCTCAGAGTGGAAGAATGAAGTGTCGAAAATGAAAGTCAGGAGGGTTAGATGGAATCTAACCTTGATGCTCTTACCTTGCTAGGGTTTTCTGTGTTTTGGCTCCTCCCTGAACTTTCAGCCATCCCTGCAGGGCTGAGCCACACACAGTGACTCTCCACTTATTTGCTTCTCTTTTAGTGGTAGGCTGCTCTTGTTTGTGACTGGATTCTGAGTTCATGGTGGACATTCTCTGTTGTCTTGAATCAGCCTCAGTCTTAGTCATTTAGACCCAGTGCCTGGGTCTTGAGAGTGGGGCTCTCTGGGCATGCTATATTGATTTTACTACTTCTGTTGCTTTCCTGCTATACCTGTACTGTCCATTTCCAGAGAGCTGCACCAACCAGTGTCTTACTTATATTTGGACCTACAGTGTCTGTGATAATGCCTGGTACATAATAGACCTTTGGTAAATTTCTATTGCATGTAATTGAACGAAGTCGATTTGAGTGAAATGTTTAGGAAAACGAAGCGTTGACATTGCTTGTATTTCACAAGATAGTTAAAAATGAATTAACGAGGAAAATTCTGGTTTGAGAATCATTTTCTCTACCTCTTTATAACTATTTGAAATGACAGCATTCCCCATAATAGATTCTCTTTATTTGCCTCACTTCTCTTCGTAGGGGTGAGATAACTGAAATGTGCTGAGGAATTTCCATGTGGCAAGTGTCATGCTGGTCTTTTAAACACACATCCTCATTTAAATCCTGATGATGCTTAAAATCTCCACTGAGAAAATAGGGGACTTAGTAACTTTTCAAATAACTCAGAAGTAGTACGTAAAAGAGGCAGACTAGGAGTCTAGGCCTGAAGGCATGTAAATATCAAAACCAGCTTGTCAAACAGTGTGCTTCTCATAGAAAGATTACTTCTTAACTTGGAGATGAGAACTTTTCATGCTGTACAAACTCGCATGGACAGTGGGTGAGGACAGACTTCTAGGCTCTAAATCTCCAAGGGGTCAGGAAACAACCATGGGGTGGCCAATCGGAGTTGAACCCATTAAGTTACTTGTGAAGTGAAGAAAACATATCAATCAAATTTTTAAAAGTATAGTGTTTGCAATCTCTTGTCTTTCCAGAGCTCCCGACAACCGTCCTTCTGCTTTGCCTTGTGCTCTGCTGCCACCTGCTGGTCATCTCAGAGAAGGCAGAAGGAAACTTTGGGCACAGGGTCAGTGCTCTGGGATCTTTGCCAGTGCAGCCCTGCAGAGTGACTACGGTGACATCTGCAATTGTTTTCTAGGAGCTTGTGTTGACATTCTTGGCTTATCTCAATTCTTTCATTATCTGAAAAGTTTTGAGTAAAAGACCTGTGCCCTAAGGTCTGAAGTTCCAGCCTTCAAACAGGATGTGGGCAGAGGCCTCCCCTTGCTTCGGTAATAAAGTAGATGGATGGCTGATAGGGAGGGCCCAGCAGTCCCTGACGGGGAAATAGTAGGCATTTTCCAAATGAGAGCTCTTCCCTCTCCCCCTCCCTTCACCAGAGGCCCCTCAGGAGATGCTTGGCTCCTGAAGTCCCTGAAGTTGGAGCACATTTAGAAGCTAAAATAGTACCAAGATTTGGGTCTTCTCACTTGCAATTCAGGACTCCTCTGGCTAACGAAATTCTGCGTATGGACTTAAGCAAGAGAGAGCCCCCTAATATGGGAGTAGGTACAGAATTATAAAGTCTGCAGACACAGCAGGCAGGCGGCGGCTGACCTTACTATGCTGGGACTTTAAACAAGTGTTGCTAAGGTCAGCAGAGCATCCAGACACCAAATTGTGCAGTAGGATAGGAAACTATCTGTTAATGACTTTAGAAGTCTATCATTATTTTTCCACCATAAATCTTGGAAAAAACATTAGAAATAATGTATGTGTGCACATAGTCACACATATACAAAGAATGTAAAGAATATAAAATTTGTGATGAAAGGCTAAATACCAACAGTAGTTATCTGAAGGTGATTAGTGCTTTTCCTTATCTGCATTTTATAGTTTTTTTTTAAATGGTGAATATTTATTACTTAGTATCTTTTAAATTAAAAAAAGAAAGAGTGTCTCTTAATCAGAGACTCTGGCTGTATACATCTGGGACTTTTGGTTGTAAGTAGAATGGACCAGAATCTCCAAGGCAGGAGATGGGAAACAGAAAAGAAAGGTCAGCTCTGTTTTATTCTTGCAGCTCGCTCACCCCAGCAGTTTGAAGATAGAGGACAGGGCTATTTGGCTTCTCTGATGTCGTCACTCACTTGGCTGGGATGACATATGGCTGGTGCTGGAGTCCAGAGATCTGGCACTGGCTGTTGTTCTTATTCATCCTTAATCCTGCATCACCCTTCATCTCTGGCCACTACTTCTGTCCTAGTCCTCCCCTATCATGGTAATTGTCTTGTCCTCATTCCAATCTCTCTTTCTACCACCACACAAAATTTTGACAAGCAAGTGGCTAGAAACCGACATTGTTTGTTCAGTATTAAGTCAAAGGAGAAAAGGAGGAGGAACACAGAGGTGTGGTTTTGTTGTTGTTGCTTTTTTTTTTCTTGCCACTGGAAAGATTTGTGCACACTGACATTTAAAACTTATTAACCAGCCAGGAGTGGTGGCTCACTCCTGTAATCCTAGCGCTTTGGGACGCTGAGGTGGGCAGATCACTTGAGGCCAGGAGTTCGAGACCAGCCTGGCTATAATGGTGAAACCTCTTCTGTAGTAAAAATACAAAAATTAGCCAGGCATGGTGGCACACACCTATAATCCCAGCTACTTAGGAGGCTGAGGCAGGAGAATTGCTTCAACTTAGGAGGCGAAGGTTGCAGTGAGCCGAGCTCGCACCACTATACTCCAGCCTGGGTGACAGAGCGAGACTCTATCACAAAAAACAAAACAAACAAACAAAAAGACTTACTAACCAACAGCTTAACTTGGGCTGAGAGGGACTAAAACTTGGGTCTCTACCTTACCAAGTGAAATACCAGATGAGCAAAATCACGCTCAAGTTCTCACTCCCAATAAGCTTTTTCTTCCCCTATTCCCATTTTGAAAGAGGGTGAATATTCTTCCAGAATCCTAAGCATAAAATATGAGAGTTGCTGTGGAGTCTTCTCCCCATCTTATCAATTGCCAAGTTCTGAAGCTTCCATCTGAGGCCCTCCCTTCTCCCCTCCTTCCCTCTATGGGCTCCCTGTTTTACCCCCATCACCTCTGCTCTGCTCACAGCATGAGCCTTCTGAGGTTTCACACCCCCAGTCTGCCCTCATCCAGTCCATCTGACCTAGAGATGCTGCATTCATTCATCCGAGGGCCAGTTTTGACTGCCTTTTTAAAAACATTTGCGAGTTCTCTGGTATTGACCAAATAATACTTGAATTCTAAAAGTAGGTGTATAAACCCTTCTGCAGTCTAATCCCAGGTTATCATTGACTATTCCCTGTGGGATAACGTTGTCAACAGCCAAACTTGGTGGTTCCAGGCACTGTAGTTGACACTGAGGCTATAGACATGAGAATCGGATGCAGTGCTTGCGCTCCAGTAGCCCCACCTCCTGTTGGAGACACAGTCAGCAGTGGTGTAAGTGCTGTAGAGGGATGACGAAGGCTCTCTAGGAGTCTAGGACAGAGAGGGTCAGAGGCTTCTTTAGGCTAAGGCAGAGAAGGAATAGGAATTAACCAGACACCTTGAGGGTAGAAATCGAGGCTAGGAGACTGGTAGACATTTTAGGAGAGGCAACCAAGCAGTTGCATGAAATTGCAAGAATACATGCCAGGTGCTACTTCACATAGTTTAGGCTGCATGTGAGGAAGCAGTGGAAGAAGATGCAGGGGGCATAAGAACAACAGCACAAACATAAATTTCTTCCTTGTATTCTGCTTAGCACTTTTCATGGGTTTTCATGTTTACTTCTCAGGAAACACTAATATGGGTAAGGTTTGTTCTGCTACAATGTATGCTTCTGTAACAACAGTTAGCTTATACTTGATTGGAAAATAAGGGAATGATTTCAGTATAATGAAGTTGGGTTGGTTCAGATAGTCTCCCCACCCCACCCCGCAAGGCTAGGGGAATTAGAAAAGCAGGAATAAAATCAGAACGTTCAGCAGGAAATAAGAAAGCCCTCAGCTCAACTGTGGCTTAGACTCAGGGCCCTTACTGCTCTATTTTAAGAAAACTAAAAATGAGAGTCTGCCATGGGGCTCCCTCTCTAGAGAAGCCAGCTTTACGCAAGATCCTGGCTCTCGGCAGGTCCATGTCCCCCTCTGTCTACATTCACTGCAGCCCCTCTGGTTCAGAGCTCCACTTCTATCTGCATTTTCTTAGTGCCTACATGATACCATCTCCTCTCTATAACTCTGAGCTTTTTTGATAGCCCCTGAAGCAGCCTTCAACTGTGCTGAGCAGCCTTCAACTGTGCTGAGCAGCCTTCAACTGTGCTGAGCAGCCTTCAACTGTGCTGAGCAGCCTGCCTGGATCGTCCAAGTTATCTCCAGAGATTCCAGCTATTGTTTTTCTGTCTGGTTGCAAAGTTTCACAGCTTTTGAGAGATATGCTCAATTTCATTTTTTTCCCTTTAGTCCTTTATTTTTAGTGTGATTTTGTAGAATGTGAGATTTTTCAGGATCGAGTATGTTGTGCAATAGAAGACATGTACTATTGAATTCTTGTTTCATAGGAGAGGAAATAGCAGCTTAGATGCATGTAACTTGCTCATGTTTTTATGTCTGGTGGATAGTAATGCTGAATTTCATGGCTCAAGCTACTTTGTTTTATGGGGCAGATTGGATAGGGTCTTACATGCTGGCACTTAAAAATCTGTTATCTCTCGGCAACTGGGCCTGGGACTTTGCAAATCGCATTTCCTGAACTCCTTTGCTAGCTGCTTTCCTTAGGTTTTGCCAATGTGAGGCACTAGAAAGTGGCTGAGAAGTGAGAGAAGGGGGAAATGGACTTCCTGTTTTTCTATTCCTGTCCTTGTTTCTCTAGAGCCACAGACAGTTGGCTCCAGCCTCTCCATGTCCCTAAGTTGCCAGCAGCAGCTGGGTCGCCCTTCTTTGGCAGTCAGTGAACAGGCCATGCTATTGTCCTTCACCAGATGGGCTTTAAAATCCCTTCGTAATCCAAGCCCTGGCTGGATTCTTCTTCCTCAGTGGTCTGAGCACCAGCTTTCCAGAGCTTCCTCCAAGAAGTCTGAGCTCCAGGCCCCTGGAACTTCTCCCCAGCTCTTCATTCTGGAAACACCATCTCTCCCTTTTGGATTCCTCACTCCTAGGAGTTGCAGTTGCTTCCTGCAGTTCTTGTTCTCTAGGCCATTGCAGTGGGCCCTCTTGTTCTTCCAGCCTTCCAGCACTCGTGTGACCCATTCCTTGCACCAAATGCCTTCTCTTTAACAAACATAATGTGTTCTGTATCCCTGAGTGAACTCTGACCCAGATATCATGCTCATGAATATTGCTCAATAAAGAAACACGAGTCTTTGAAGGCATTTAAACTGAAAAGTGGCTCCTTGCTGCAGTTCTTATTTCTTCATTTGGCAGCATTTGACTCTGTTGACAACGCTTTCTTCCTTTAAATCTTATGTCATCTTGGTTTCTCTGAAGTAAGACTCTCATGGTCTCCATACCTCTCAGGCTACTCTTTCTTAGCCTCCTATGGAGACTCATCCGCCTTTATTCTGGTGTTTCCTGGGGCCAGATACATGCCTTTTTATTTCTCCAATCTACGCAATTTCCCTGGAAGAGCTCCTCCGTTTCCATAGCTTTAGGTGTTATCCATTTTCTGATGATGCACAGATTCATGTCTCAGCCAGACAGTTCTCCTCAGTCCCAGGCCCATTCATCCAGCTGTCCTCTGGACATCTCCATGGGAGTGCTCCCTATGTTGCATTAGAGGGCCTGGACTGTGATGGAGGGAGACCCGGTTTCAATCCAGATCTGCATCATACCCAAGGCATCCCAAAAAGTTGATAATCATCTGTGTTTCCCACCAACCCTTCTCTCCCTCTGTGTTCCTAGTGTAAGTGGCTAACTCTAGCATTCATCCTTGTCGAACTTGAAAAGCTGGGTGTCCGTGTTGACCCCTGCTTCTCCCTCATGTCCCATATACAAATAAGTCCACTAGATTAAATCTCTTCATTCAATTTACGTATTTCTATCATTACTGTCACAACTCTAGTCTGGCCCACTATAATTTCCAACAGCTTCCTCAAAGGCATCTTACCTTCCAATGATGCTGTTCTAAACATCAACTTCCACACAGCAGTTATTTTCCCCCAAATAAAAATCTAATCAAAGTCTCTCCTCTACTTAAAACTGTTCAGTTCTGATTCTCCTCTTGGAATGAAATACACTCTATAGCATGGCTTATCATACCTTGGTGATCTTGTAACGGGATGCTTCTAGCTGAGGGCTCTTTATTTTATGCAAGAAAAGACGCCATTTAAAGGTTTCCAGTTCTAATATCTCCAGGGGTACAGATGGAAGGCACCGTTAGGAACAGAGATTGCTCTGGGAGGGGTCACTTGTCTCTCTTACTTATGTAAATGTCAGTCAAGATTGTACCCATTGAAGGAAGGCATAATAGGGTTTATTTGAAACTTGGCTGTGGCTACCTCTTGGAAAGCACATGACTTATCTCCAGCGAAGAAGTCAATAGAAGTCTTTAAGTTTCTTGGGAACAAAGGGAACATATTTGACCTCTTCCTTTTTGAGTTTTGTGGTCATTAACACTTCGATGAATTGACAGTCTTAGCTGATATATTCCCTGGCAGCAAAGTTCCCCAGGAAAGAAAGGTGAGTTTGCATGTAGAGAGCTTATATTGACACAAAGGTATAACTGAATTCCCATCCACAGTATTAATATGTACCTGAGGTGGCTCTCAACTAGCAGGTGGATGAAAAGACTCATCCTGTAGATGTCAAGTCAGCTTCAATCCTTAGCCATGTCAGTGCTTGAGCAATGGGTCCATGAACATCTGGGCCATGGCAGGAATAGATATTCTTGGGGCCAACTGCATGGATTTTTTCTCTCCAGGGTTGACCTATTTCCAATTCTGAGGGAGACCAGCCATAGGACTGGCTATATAGTTTGAGAGGCCCTGTGCAAAATGAAAAGGGGTGTGTGTGTAACAACCCTCCCCACAACTTTTCATTGCTATGTAGTTTGAGAGGCCCTGTGCAAAATGAAAAGGCTTGTGTGTGTGGTGGAGTTGTACACACACACACTCACACACACACACACACACACACACACACACACACACACCCCTTTTCATTTTGCACAGGGCCTCTCAAACTATATAGCCAGTCCTTCAAATTCTGTTTACAGAATTTACCAACCTGGACCCATTAGCCAGCAGGTGGAGTGTTCACTTTGGACACTTTTTGGACACTTTTTCATGTGGAGTGATGAGTAATTTGTCTTCACAGGAGTTCATACCTACTGCAAGAATGGTGTGACTTTGCTGTCTGCAGTATCTGTGCCAGCAACATGCTCTGGCAGCTTGTGGAAGTCATAACCTGCTGTATGATATCTAATACAACATTTTTTTAGGCTTGAAAAGGAAGTGCAACAATGGGCACATGACCACAGGATTCAATGATTATACTATTTACTCTAGTACCCAGAAGTGGGTGCCCAAGTAGCACTGGCATGAGCTTGGGAAGGCTAGACTAAATAAAGCATTAGCACTGGGATAGCACCATCCGGGGATGTCCAGCATGTGTTAAACAGATCAGTGGCTAATATATGATGGTGTGCTCTCAATAGCTAGAATATATGGATCCAGGAAACGAGATGGAAGTAAGTGTCACCTCTTTACTTTCAGTGACTCAGCTGGGGAATTTACTCTTTCTATAGTGGGATGCTTAGGTGGTCCTCACAACTTTAAGTTCTGCTGGGTGGAGGTCCTCTTTCTCATAGGAGTGAAAATGCCTCTTCTAGGACGTGCCTGTACGCAGTGTTATAAGTTGGAAGCCATGACTGCCACCTGGCCACTTGGGGCTCCTCATGTGCATAACCCATCGAGCACATAAAGTGGCTAAGCTTGTTGGTATATTGAACCCTAATTCCTATGAGGTGCTGGTATTGCTGCTACACAATGGGGGGGATGAAGGAATTTGTTTGGAACTCAGAGAAGCCATGGAGTTTATTCAAACCTCTAGATCAGGAGCTGTCAAACTTGTTCTTGAAGGGCCAGGTAGGAAATATTGTCAGCATTAGAGGCCATATGGTTTCTGTTACAACCATTTAACTGCTATAGTAGCCTGAAAGCAGCCATAGACAACACATAAAGAAATGAATGTTGCTGTGTTCCAAAGAAACGTTATGTGCAAAAACAGGCAGCTGGTACCCTGCCTACAGTTTGCTGACCTCTGCTCTGGTACCAAGAATTACAAAGCATAGAAGAAGACGTTAAATGCCACCATGATGATGCAATCAGCCAAATCCAGAATGTGAGAAATTCTACAAGACAAATGATTTGCTTTCTTCAGCAGATAAATGATAAGAAAACAAAGAAAGAGGGAGAACTCCTATATATTAAGAGAGACTTAAGAATCATATTGTTAAAATTCAATATGTGAATCTTTGATTATAAAAAGATTACCAGTGAAAATCAATCATAGGCTGGGAATTACATGATGTTAGGAAATTGAAAAAAAATTTTGTTGGGTGTAATAACAGTGTTAGGTTATGATAAAGTCAAAGGTCCTGTCTGTCAGCCATACATAGTGGGGTACTTATAGTGAAATAATTCTATTTCTGAGATTTGCTTTAATATAGTCTAGCAAAATAAAAAAACAATTTTTTGTGTGTATGTTGATGGGGGGAGGTAAGTACTGATGAAATAAAAATAATGGCAAAATGTTGACATTAGTTGAAATTGGTTGTTGTGCACCTGAGATTTCATTATATTATTTTCTCTGCTTTTGTATTTGACAAATTCCATAATACAGAGAGTAAACAATAGCAAAAACAATTTTAATTAAATGAAAATGTTGAAGATATTGGCATGCCATTTTCTGTCACTTTGTTCACTTATGACTTAGGTACTCACCAAATGAAAAACATGTAGAATGCTTCATTCCATTATTACACAACTTTCTCAATTGTCCCTGCTGTGGTTCAGTGTCTAATCTAAGCCTGTGAAAGTAAATAATTTGTTTAAGTTGATTTTGCATGAGGAATTCTTTAGTCTTTTATTTATTTATTTCTATTATTCATTTATTTTTTTAAGACGGAGTCTCACGCTGTCGCCCAGGCTGGAGGGCAATGGCATGATCTCGACTCACTGCAACCTCTGGATCCTGGGTTCAAGCAATTCTCCTGCCTCAGCCTCTCAAGTAGCTGGGATTACAGGCACCTGCCACCACGCCCTGCTAATTTTTTGTATTTTTAGTAGAGATGGGGTTTCACTATTTTGGACAGGCTGGTCTCAAACTCCTGACCTCGTGAGCTGCCCACCTCGGCCTCCCAAAGTGCTGGGATTACAGGCATGAGCCATTGAATTTTTTTGAGACAGGATCTTGCTCTGTCACTCAGGCTGGAGTGCAGTGGTACAATCGTGGCTCCCCGTAGCCTTGACTTCCTGGGCTCGGGTGATTCTCCCACCTCAGTCTCCTGAGTAGCTGGGACTACAGATATGGCTAATTTTTTGTATTTTTAGTAGAGACAGGGTTTCACCATGTTGCACAGGTTGGTCTTGAACTCCTGGCTCAAGCAATCTGCCACTTCGGCCTCTCGAATCTTTTCATTGAGCTAAAATATGTCTGTTGAGTATGTATAAGAATACATGAGAAGACTATCCCCGTTTCCTAATTCTTCCAGTGAAAAATTTAGGGAAAGAAATGTTCATTTATTTTTTTCTTCCATCTGAACATCAGGCACATACACTCCATGACACACATACCCCGTACTCAGTTGTAAAACAACGGTTTACAAGTGTCAGAGACAGGTGTTTTACAACTTCGTACATTAACCTGAGGGCCTGGTACAAAGGCATTTGAGCTTACAACCTCTGTGACACTAGCATTGATATATACAAAGTATCTGCCACTGCCCGCTTTGCATGCACTCTAAAGTTTGTCTCCTGTTGCAATATTTTATTTTTAGATTAGGGAGAGTCTACATCTGTAGTGCCCTTCCGCCACCACTTTAGTAAATTTTATTGGCTCCTAAGCTTTCAACACCCGTGATGATGAATTACTTGCCTTTGATCCCCATCTGGTGGTTTTTTAGAAAACAAAACATGTCAAAAGGGCGGGGTGCAGTGGCTCACGCCTGTAAACCCAGAACTTTGGGAAGCTGAGGTGGGCAGATAACCTGAGGTCGGGAGTTCGAGACCAGCCTGGCCAACATGGTGAAACCCCACCTCTTGGAAGTCTGTTTTGGACTTCCATTTCCTTCTTAAGGATGTAGCCTAGGTTCAGAGGGAAGTCAAGGTCCTGGGAACAAGAAGGATAGTTTGTTTTAAGGTCAGAGCTCAACACAGTCCTTCAGCCTGCGGAGGCAACCCAGAGAAGAAGTCTCCCTATACTGTCAAGAGTAGCATCAGGAAGCAAGTGTCCTCCTCACACATCCTAATCTGAACATTACTGCCCCCCTCCCCTAAATACCACCACACACACTCATAGACAGTCCATTCAGCTCTGGGTTTCAAATGCATATGATTTGTCTTGGCCAAGATTGATCTGAAGTTCTACACAGGACTCTAGCCAGAAGCCTTGAAGCTAGGATCTGAAACCAACCCCCAAATCATATTCTAATTTCATTTATCATCCCAATGAGTGGCCGGCTGGTGGTATCATGGAGAAAGAAAAGAGTAAAGCAACGATCTGAAAACAATCTGTACTTTGCAATGTCTCCTTTAACAAACAGATAGTAACTGAACACCTGAACACCTACTCTGTGCCAGGTTCCCTGTTGCTTTTGTCACCTGGCCTTTCTCAAAGCACCAAACCTCTTCTCCCTCGGGTCTTTGTTTTTTAGACCAAGTATTTGTTTTAATATGTCAATCTAGGCTTCTTGATTATCCCAAGGAACAGTGGAAAAATTCAAAATCCCCTGAAACATCTCCTAGAATAAGCTTGCGTGGAGTTCTTTTTTTTTTTTTTTCTGTTTTGTTTTGTTTTTCTGAGATGGAGTCTAGCTCTGTCACCCAGGCTGGAGTGCAGTGGCACGATCTCGGCTCACTGCAACCTCCGTCTCCCAGGTTCAAGTGTTTCTCATGCCTCAGCCTCCGAAGTAGCTGGGACTACAGGCACACGCCACCATGCCTGGCTAATTTTTGTATTATTATTAAAGATGGGGTTTTGCCATGTTGGTCAGGCTGGTCTCGAACTCCTGGCCTCAAGTAATCCTCCAGTCTCCACCTCCCAAAGTGCTGGGATTATAGGTGTGAGCCACCGTGCCCGGTTGAGCTTGTGAGGAATTCTAATCTGGGGTGTTTCTATTTCTTGGAGGCAGTGGAAGCAGGCTGGGCTTTGGCAACCAGCAGAGTGAGGTCAGAATGCCCGCTCTGCTAGTTATTTGCAGCGTGATCACTAAATCACTTAATGTCTTTGAGTTTTGATTACACCTTTGGTAACATGGTGATAGTTATAATAATAATTACCTAGAGAGTTATTGGGGGATTAAATGCTATATGTATGCAAATGGATGGTCTATAGTAAAAGCCTAACACATATTAGAACCTCCTCATCCCACCAACCTCCAGTATGGTCTTCACTGAATTTCCACCTTGTGCTGCAAAAGTGCTTTTTACTTAAAAAAAAAAAAAAAAAAGATTTAGTTCTAAGACCTACCTAATAGCAAAGGTGGAAATCCATTTTCATACACAGTTCCAATGAAAGTGAGAAGTGAGCAGGAATAAGGCAGACAGTACTGTAGTCACTAATGGGAATGGACTTGGGGTGATGTAAATCAGTTTACCAAATAGGAGGAATACTTTCTTATGAAAGAAATATATTACCAGAAATACCACAAAACTGAGTAAATATCTGAAAGCAGAGCCACTTCATTTTCCTTTTGCCTCCTGGCAGAGTACCAAGCAAAAGCCCATGATAATCTTAATCTTCCGGAGCTCATGCTTTTGTCTTATCTTTTTCTCTGGACATGAGATTAATTGCTGTGTCCCACAATTAATTAATTGCATATTATGTGTGCACTCTGTTATGTATGCACTCAGTTCTCACCCATAAATTTCTTTCTTTCTTTTTTTTTTGAGACAGTCTTGCTCTGTTGCCAGGCTGGAGTGCAGTGGTGCGATCTTTGTTCACTGCAACTTCGACATCCAGGGTTCAAGTGATTCTCCTGCCTTAGCCTCCCAAGTAGTGAGGACTACAGGTGCATGCCACCATGCCCAGCTAATTTTTGTATTTTTAGTAGATACGGGGTTTCACCATGTTGGTGAGGATGGTCTCAATCTCTTGACCTCGTGATCCACCTGCCTTGGCCTCCCAGAGCGCTGGGATTACAGGCAGGAGCCACTGCGCTTGGCCTAAAATTTCTTACTCTTGGAGAGATGCATATCCTTTAGCAAGTGCTTGCATTACCAGAAAGGACAATCAAAACATTCTCTATTTACACATGATCTTTCCGAAGGGTATCTTGACAGGACATATATATCAAAACCCTAAAACGGGCATGCTTCTTAACCCAGCAATTCCAGTTCTAAGATATTATTCAAAGAAAATATTTAATATGTGTTAAAAATGTATGAAGTAGTATGCTATTTATAGGCTGAAATACCCTTAAGTTTTAAAGATATTATAGAATGCTATGTAGCTATTAAAATTGTGTTGTAGAAGAATAATGACATGGACAAATGTTCATAATTAATTTATAGCCAGAAAAACAAGTAGGTTATAAGGCATTTTAAAAATGAATTCATTGCTCTAAAATCTAGGCTTTACAAAGAGTCTACAAAGAAACCATCAAATTATTCAGCTATTACTCTAAAATAAAGGAATTAAAGGAAAATATTTGTTCTATACCTTTGTGCTTTTCATGTTTTAGCAGTTTTCTGGTTATTGTTATTGTTCATATTAGCAGCCAGTGAATGACACGTTCTTTCTCTCTAGGGTCTTTGGGATGCTGGTCCCACTTCCTGAAATATCATTTCCCCCTCTTTGTCTGCTGAAGATAATTATCTGGTCATTCTCCAAAACTCAGCTGATATATCACTGATTTCCAGAATTCTTTACTATGACCAGGCTTTCTTGTGTTTAAAACATCTTACATTTAAAACACACAAACACACACTCATTGAATAGTTACCACAGGCTAAGTACTGTCCTCAGCTTTTTTGTATGTTTTTACTCACTTATTTTTCACAATAGACAGGTGATGTAGAGAATAATATCATCTTCATTTTATAGATAATGTAACTGAGGCTCACGGATCAAGAAACCTTCCCAAGATCACACAGCTAGTAAATGGCTGGGTGAGAATATTGTTAACCCAGGTAGCCTGACTCTAGAACCTATGCTGTAAATTTCTCTGGTAACCCGCATTCTACTAACCTATTTTTTTTTTTTTTTTTTGAGACGGAATCTTGCTCTGTCGCCAGGCTGGAGTGCAGTGGCCTGATCTTGGCTCACTGCAACCTCTGCCTCCTGGGTTCAAGCGATTCTCCTGCCTCAGCCTCCCGAGTAGCTGAGACTACAGGCACACACCACCATGTCCAGCTAATTTTTGTATTTTTAGCAGAGACGGGGTTTCATCACGTTGGCCAGGGTGGTCTCGATCCCTTGACCTTGTGATACGCCTGCCTCGGCCTCCCAAAGTGCTGGGATTACAGGCGTGGGCCACCATGCCCGACCTCTACTAACCTATTTTAATAGCTGCTTTGCTTCTGTGCACATTAACATCTTTTGCACCTGCATCTTCTTGAATACAACAAGGCTAAATTTCCAGCAGCAAACATATTCAGAGATCAATATTTGCAGAATACAAAAAAAATCATCAGCAAGGCTTACCACTGCTATTAAATACTGAATAAGTGTTTTATTATCATACAGAAATGGTAGGAAAAGGAGGAGAAGAAAAAGAAAGAAAAAATCTAAGGGATGAAAGAAAGACAAGAAGAATAACAGGAAGAAAAGAGAATGGTTATAGAGGAAAAAAAGATCTGAGGCTTTGGGGACATTCAACTGACAGCTTCCTTACCTGTATTTTTCAGAAATCTTAATTCTATAATTTTTCAAAAAAAATTTTTTTTTTAAAGCAGTTGGTTGGGTGCAGTGGCTCACATCCGTATGCCCAGCACTTTGGGAGGCCGAGGAGGGAGGATTGGTTGAGCTTAGGAGTTCGAGATGAGCCTTGGCAACAAAGCAAAACCTGCCTCTCTACAAAATAATATAAAACAAATAAATTAGCTCGGTATGGCAGCATACACCTGTAGTCCCAGTCACTCAGGAGGCTGAGGTGAGAGGATCGCTTGAGCCCAGGAACTCAAGGCTGCAGTGAGCTGTGATCACAGCACTGTACTCCAGCCTGGGCAACAGAGTGAGATCCTGCCTCAAAAAATAAAAAAGAAAAAATAAAAAAAAGCAAACTTTTTCCAAGTGAAATTTAGTGCTGAAGACCAGCAAATAAAACAGATGACGCTGGTATTGGGACCAGAGTTTGCTGTACTCACCTGGGGAATTCCTAGCCTGCCCCAGCCCCATGGCAGCCCTGAGACATCTCTGAAGAATTATTAGGATACTGAGAACAGGTTGAAAACCACTGCCTTAAAATTTTCTCTGGGTGATGGTCACAAGTGTGCCTTTGTGAGTAGAATCCTTATCTCCTATAGGATCAAGGTTAAAATCTGTGATCTGTTTCTGAGACTCCATTGAAAACATACTAAATCCAAAGTTAATCACTAAAATAAAGTTAAGGAAAATGAAACTATAAATTATGAAATGCTTATATAATTTCCTTATATATAAATGTTCCTTTTGGCAGATTTTTTTTTCTACATGGATTTTATTGGTTAAAGTGTTTATTTAACTTTGGACTTCAGATGGCTTCTTTTCCTGATAAACATTTCTACACTAAGTATAGGCAGTACCATTGCTCCAGGGATTTTCAAACTGCTTTCAAAATTAGTTTTTTTATTCTGAAATGTTCTGTGGTTACTTTGATATACATGAATTCCTCTAAAAGCTTTTGAATGGAGCAAAAGTTGGTGGAGGGAGTTTTTCTAAGGTAACTTTATTTTCTTCAATGATTCCTTGCTCAAAACATAGAGGGGGTCTGACTTCAACCAGCCAGTCAACAATGTCAAATCTACTCATCGATGCATCAGCATCCAAGACAGAATTACTCAAAGTTGTTAGCAGTTATATATAAAATGTTATTCATTGATACAGTGTTTTGTTTATAAGAAAGATAACAATAGCAAAGTTTTGCAGGTCAAACCAGTATGCTAGTATAGGTTTTGGTCTATGTATTAGTTTATAGCTACCTTTGAGTGATGGAAGTAATAATATTGTTTGCAGCCATAACAGACATGAGTGGATGTTGTGACTAATGTTTACAGAGGATATGGAAGGAGATATTTATATAACACAGGTTGTGTTGCAGTTGTCTTCTCTAGCAGTTTACACATCTGGGACAGAGGATGTGTGAAGTATAGCACAACTTCTAGGATAGGTGGCTGGCTTACAGGGACTTCATGTTACCCAACTAGAATGGGCTCTCCAAGTATCCATTTTACATCCGTGTATCCTTCCAATAAGTCATTACATTTGCAAATACACCAACGTCTATGCATCTTTGATTCTTTAATTGTTAACAGCCCAGAAAAATAGCTACCTTTTCTGTATTAAAAATGTTCTATACTGGGTGTGGTGGTGCACGCATGTAGTCTCAGCTGCTCTGGAGGCTGAGGCGGGAGGATCACTTCAGCATAGGATTTTGAGACCAGCCTGAGCAACATAGAGAGATCCTATCTCCAAAAAATATTTCCCGATGTTCTAAATGCAATCATCTTGTCATTAATTTGATGTGCATTACCTCATTTTTTCCTCACGACAACCCTATGAGGTAGGTACCATTTATTTCCATTTATAAAAGTGGCTCAGGGTCTTTGACCTGCCCACCAATACACAGCTGGTTAAAAGCATGATCAGAATTGAAGCCAGTATTTATCTGACTCCAAAACCATGTCCTTGACTGCTCTGCTAATTGGAACCTTGCAATGTCTTCCAATTAGAACTGTAGCTTTATTCATTTTAATTATTCTTTCACAGTCTAGCTCATAGCAGGCATTTCAGAAATGATTTTTTTAAGGAATGAATGAGTAAAAAATGGTTATTGGAGTTGTGAATACCAAAATAATATACCAATTACTTCTTAAAGTCATCTAAGCTCTGTTTACCTCTCTCCATCTCTACTGTCAGCACTAGCCAGAGCCACCATCCATTTTGCCTGGAATTCTTCAGAAACCACCTAACTATTCTCCGTATCCTTGGCTGCCTATAGTTTATTTTCACTAAAGCAACCAGAGAGAGCTTGCTAGAATGCAAAACATTTCCCCTTTCCCCTCAAAAAACAATCTTCAATGGTTTTCCACTGCTTCTAGGATTAAGTCGCAGGTCCTTAACATAGGTTACAAAACCCTTTAGCCTCATCTCATACCATTTCCCCACAGCCCTCAGTGGTCCAGCCACTCCATCCTGCCTACAGTTCTCATGGTGCTGCTTCCCACCACAGGACATTTGCCTGTCCTGCATTCTCTGTTGGAAATGCACGCTCCTCTTCCGTCCACCCTCCACCTCTAGTAACTCCTCTTCATCCTGTACATCTCCCCTCAGTCCAGATAAATTTCTTCTAAAATTTTCCTTTATGGCACTTTGAACTTCTCCTTGTTAGCACTAAACATTGTTGCAATATGCACTCATTTGACCTATGTTCTGTCTCTCCCATGCAAGCTCCTTTGGGCATGAGCTATCACTATTTTCCTCACTTTTGTGAAGGCCATCCGTGTCTGTCCTGTAGTGGTCACTCAATAGATATTTAATACTCAAATATTTGTTTGAATGTGTGAATAGGATTTGGATATTGTGAGCTTGGATTTCCTGTTTCTGTTCTCTATCTTTATGATTTTTGGTGGTAACTATTTTGCTTAGGGCACTGTGATGTTTAGAACGGATTTAAAAACTTTTAGCACATCTGTTGCCAGGGCCCAACTCCAGGGAAGTTCACAGAGTTAAAATTAGAAAAGCAAAGTATGTGTATGTCAGGCAGACAATAAAGGGAAGTGATAGTCCCAGGATGGCTGGGTCACTGGCCACCTGCGGTTGTCTTCTTTCTCTTCTCATTACCACCTTCCATTTTCCCTCAAGTGGGAGAAAAAGTGAGTACAGAACGCAGACCACCTGCTGAGGTGGGTGCTGCAGAGAGCCACTGATTAAAGGTGGAGATGGAACTCCTTTTCTCAATTTCATCTTCTTGAACCTAATACCAGCTGTGTTTCAAGCTGAGCTACTACACGCCTGCTGGGAGGCCATTTGCTGCATGACACTATGAAAATGATGGCGTTTGCTCCTTCAAGTAAGAGATAATCAGCTTATTCAGAGCCTAAAGGAAGAGAAAGTTTTTTCAATTAGGTATGTACCTTTTACTCTCTATTCCAAGGGTTAAGAACAAAGGCACAAAGTGTGTGTGTGTGTATGTGTGTGTGTGTTGAGCAGTGCTGACCTGGGGTCCTGTATTTCTAAAGCATCTATCACTGTGGGAAAATTCAATTTCATGAAATTGAACTGGTGGGTGCTGTGCTGGCTCTTGCAGATATCTCTGGCCTGAAGCTCTGAATCCTGCATCTGCTTTGTCTCCGACCTCTCTGGCTCCATTATGAAACTAGAACCTACAGAGGCAGAGTACACACTCCCTCCTAGACCACATTATTAAAAAAAATACTTTCTCACCAAAAGAAGGAGAGAGAAGCCAAAGAGATCAACAAAGCTTTTCTCCACAGAGGCGCTACATGTTTATTTTCTAAGACCTTTTAGCTCTCACCTTAGAGAAATAAAAAATCAGTATGTCATTATCTTTCTGAGGGAAGAAATGAAATGTGCTAAGATGGATATTTTTCTTCCTGCTTTATTCATCACATCTGCCCTACATTACTAGCACTCTCAAGGAGGAGGAGCTTTTTTAAAGCTTTTTTTCAAACCCAAGCTCTTTGATTGAAATTTAGAAGTGTTAGAAGGTTAGGTACTGCTTTGGGTTGAGAACTTTGGGGTCAGAGTGTGAAATTTACAATCTAAATATTTCTTACCCTGATATCTAGGATACTAAACAAATAAATTTGTAGAAACTAGAAGCTCCCTAACAAAGTAAAGCTATTTACCTTTCTAGGCTGTCAATACAAGCTTTAAAAGATGATAAATTTGGAATATGGCATACAATTCATTTTGGACCATTGTTAGCCTTATTCTTTTCTGAATAGCACAGTGCCTAGGTCATAATAAGCCCTCAAGAAAATGTTTTAATGGGATGAATAACTAAATGATTCTTTCAACATCATCAACACTGTCCTCTTGAGTATCTAAATTTGTAGGGAAATTTAGGGAGGTCCTTGTCTCTCCAGCTCTTCTTAGCTATAGACATCAATAATGCTCAGCTTAAAGATCAGCACCCCAACCAGTCCCCAAGTTTGTGTTAGAAGACCTTGCCACATGCCTCACCCTCATCAGTGGGGGGATTCTGGAGTAAATCTTGTTGCTTTAAGCCCAGCATCTGCTGAACCTGCATGAAACCTTTTGAGTAAGATGCCTTTGTTCCTAGACCTAGCCAGCCTCCTTCCTGCGGCTAAGAATATGTCCCTATTTGACTGACCTGCAGGGGTTTTGCTTCACAATGGTCAGACACTGGACATCTCTGGACAATCTGACTGCAGGTTTCACCTCTGTCTGGTGGGCTACTTGCACAGATTGGACCCTGTAGTTTAAAGAAATTAACAATAACCAATATTTACTGAGCATTTATGTGTTTGGCAGAATTCGAAGTGCTTAGTCTATTCTAGCTTACTTAATTTTCATGATTGCCCTATAACAACCCTATAAAGTACTATTTTGACACGCTTTTTAAAGATAAGGGGATTGAGTACAGACAGGCAAAGAAGATTGCCCTAAGGTTAAATAGCAGCATGATTCAAGTCAGGTTATCTAATTCCAGAGCCAGTATTCCTAAGTAGTATGCCATAACTAGTATCACTTTTAGGCGGGAAGAATATTCAGTCATCACACAATGATACATTTTAGCAGCTGGTGCCCATTCTGATTAGTTGGGAGTTCCTTCTGTTTGTTAAATATTTTGAGTATCAGTTGTTCCCTTAGGACATTGTGAGGGAGATTCTTGGCCATCTCTTGGAATCTGCTCTGTAGCTAAGTTCATGATGCCACTCCACTTGGTTCTAGATTCCATGTCTTCTCAACCAGTCTCACAACTGAGGCACATGGCTATAGCAGATATGAAGAAGAACAAGTCAAGGTCCTTCCCCTCAATCTAGTTAAGACAGGCCTTGATTATTAAAGAGTGAATTATGTCTGATTTAGGACACCAGCTAAGAGTTTGAACTCTAAAAGTCTATGTAGGTGTTGATTAAAAGTGGAAGTGAAGTTCTGCTCCTGAGACACAGAACACTAACAACTTTCTATTGTATATAAAACCAAGAACAAGAGAAGTTTTTATTAAGTTCTGCTAGCATCTCTGACTCATAAATGTACAAGGAGAAGATGACCAGAATAGTCTTTGCAATGTTCAAGGTACTGAAATAGAAGTCCCAAATAGGAGACCTAGGAGTAAAGCTGTATGTTCTTTTGGGGGAAGTGTGGGTGGGGTGCCTCCATTAGATCAGGAAGAGAGAGTGTACAGAAAAGCACACAAGTCCAAGGGACTAGATTTCAAATCCAGCCTTCATCTTTTACTAGGACCCTTAGATATGAACATATCTTGAACATCCAGAATTCCAGTTTACTTCATCTGTGAGGAAGTATAGGTGAACATATGGGCTTTGCTACAGAATTCCTGGGTTCATGAACTTTTTTTTTTTGGACACAGCCTCACTCTCTCACCCAGGCTGGAGTGCAGGGGCATAATCTTGGCTCACTGCAACCTCTGCCTCCTGGGTTCAAGCGATTCTTGTGCCTCGGCCAAGTAGCTGAGATTACAGGCGCTTGCCACCACACCCAGCTAATTTTTGTATTTTTAGTAGAAATGGGGTTTTGCCATGATGGCTAGGCTGGCCTTGAACTTCTGGCCTTAAGTGATCCACCCACCTTGGCCTCCCAAACTGGTAGGATTACAGGTGTGAGTCACCACGCCTGGCTGAGCCACCCCGCCTGGCGACTTCCTGGTTTCAAATACCCACATTGCCGTGTCCTAAATGGCAAAATATTGGGGAAGTTTTTAACCTGTGAATGCTCCAGTTTCCCCATCTGTAAAATAAGATAAATAATAATTCATAACATTATTACAGGGATCAATGAATTCATTTAAAAATTAAAATAGTGCCTGGCACAGGGGAAGTGCTCAACTAATGTTAGTTATTGTTAAAATCGGCCAAATGGAGATACTGGCAATTACTTCAATTATCTTTCTCATGAGAATTCTATAAGGTAATAACCTACAATGAAATCAACTGGTATATAAAAGATGCTTGGTAATTGTTGGTTTTCTCTCTACCCCAGTAAATATTAGATCCCAGGTAGCAATAGAAAATATGGAAAATGCAAGGCATATTTCACCAGCTTTAGATCAAGCCTATGTTCACAATTCACTCAAAACCTATCTTGAATCAAGTTTGAATCACTAGCAGAAAAATAATTGTCTTTTCCCATGAAATCTCCTTAAATTCACATGTTATCACCACAGATGATTATTATGGTCCTACATATGCAACATTTATGCAAAAAAGTATGAAATTGTCTCTCATTAATTGCAAGAAGCTTACAGCTTAATTTTGGAAACATGATCTTTGCTCCCTAGGTTAGTTATCACTGGAAGGTAAGGACCCCCAAGCAATTAATGAGATTGCTTATACTATGTGCCAAGGAGTGAGGATAGAATGTTCATGATTCCTAATGCCCGCAAGCACTTTTTCCTCTAAAATGGCCATGAGGAGTTTCAGTTATTTCACTACATAATTTTCAATGAATGCATCCAACTTTGGAGCTTGATGGAATCAGACTGCTAAATATCTAATCCTAACTTGGGTATTTACTAGCTCTGTGACCTTTGTCAAATTAGTTAAACTCTTTGTACCTCAGCAACCTCATAGGTCCTCAAAATGGAGTTAAAAATAATATCTGCCTCCCAGGAGTGTGGTGAGGATTAAAAGAGTTAGCACTGACAAAGCATTTAGAAGACTGCTTGGTACTTAGGAAGCTAGCTATCAGTAAGTCTGCCATTGTCCACTGGAATACTTTTTTTTTTTTTTTTTCCAGGGAGAAAATATTTTCCTTTTCCTGGATAAAACTGTGTCTGCCAGGCCTCCATAGACAGGTCTGTCTCTTTAAGTTTCAAAATCAGTCTGGATTCACATATTAAAGATGTCCAGTTCAAGATACCATTTTCCCTTATATATTAGGTTGGTGCAAACGCAATTGCGGTTTTTGCCATTAAAATTGCTTTTGCACAAACCTAATACATATTAAAAGGTAGGACTACCTCTAGTTGCTGAACCTGCATCCTCCAGGGAAGGACATGCATTTCTGCTCTGTTCATTCTCCTTCCCGACAAGCTAGCTGCCATTTCTGACCTTTACCAGATAGCATCATGATCTGGGTGTTTCAAGAGGACTTGCTTTTATGGCTACTTTTGTGGTATTTCAATGCAGCTTCCTTGATGTTGGGAATGGACTCACCACCCCGCCTTTGACTCACAACCCGGCCCCATCCCACCTTGCTATCTATCCCCAGCCCCTGGTTTTCCAGTTATCTCTACAGCCGATTCTTCACCCTCTCAAATACTTCTCTTTTTTTTTTTTTTTTTTTTTTTTTTGAGACGGAGTCCCGCTCTTTAGCCCGGGCCGGATTGCAGTGGCACAATCTCGGCTCACTGCAAGCTCCGCCTCCCAGGTTCACGCCATTCTCCTGCCTCAGCCTCCCGAGTAGCTGGGACTACAGGTGCCCGCCACCGCGCCCGGCTAATTTTTTGTATTTTTAGTAGAGACCGGGTTTCACCGTGTTAGCCAAGATGGTCTCGATCTCCTGACCTTGTGATCCGCCTGCCTCGGCCTCCCAAAGTGCTGGGATTACAGGCGTCAAATACTTCTCTTGATCGGACTTAACATGAGTCCAATCTGCCCTTCTCTTTTGTGTGGCTCATAGCAAGACCACAGGGAATAGGTACTCGTCCCTTGCCCTGACAAACTCTGGGAGTGCTGGCCCATTGCAATGTGGCAGTTTTTATTCTTCACCCAAAGGCTGCTTTATCTTTCTTGCTTGAGGGTCAGGGCAAGTGTCTTCCAGCTTTAAAGCACAATGTAAAGCTCTCCTCGAGGCCAGTGAATGCCCCATCAGTAAGCTTTAAGGTGACCGAGATAAACTTTCCCCTCATTTTGGATGGGATAGGATGGAGTCTCACAGCAAAGTCATGCTTTCTCCGAAGAAATCTCTTTCCAAATCCTCTCTCTCTATATCCACTCTCTCAACCCTATTTTAGGCTTTACGTGTAGTTTGATATCTGCTATGTACCACATTCATCAAAACTGAGATAGAAAAGTTATCTTTTTAACATTCTGTTGTTATTATTTTTTTAAACCACAACTGGGACCAGGAAAGTCCACAGAATGTTCTTTTTTCTTACATTATCAAGGAGCTGAGGATTCAGCTGAAGAAAATTTTCTGTCAATCTCTATTTTGAAGAACACTGGAGAAGGATCACCTGTATAGAAGTAATTAGAAGTCAAAAAATAGCTGGGTCAAATCTCAGTCAGAAGATGATAGAAATCCCAAGTCTTAAACTGGCAGCTCAATTTAAGCCTATTTACGTTGTTGCATATTTTATTTAACCACTGAGAAAGGATGCCAATATTCAGCCTTAGGGACTTAGTTAAAAGCTTTTTAGATTGGTAGCTGCAGGATCTTGAAATGAATAACATTTTGAGGTTTAATAGTGGCTTTGCTGAAAACAAGCAATTCTTAATACATTTAACTACAAGAATAATAAGAAATATGGATTTATATTAACAGGAGCTAGAGATTTGATGTGGGGCTCCATGATGTAAATGGGGAATAACCAATAATCCTTAAGGGAGTTACTAAATAATACTAGTCTTTCTTCCATTTTTTTTAAAATTATACTTTAAGTTATGGGATACATGTGCAGAACGTGCAGGTTTGTCACCTGCATGTGCCATGGTGGTTTGCAGCACCCATCAACCCGTCATCTAGGTTTTAAGCCCTGCATGCGTTAGGTATTTGTCCTAATGCTCTCCCTCCTGTGCCCCCCAACCCCTCATCACTTTCAGGTACACCAATCAATTGTAGGTTTGGTCTTTTCACGTAGTCCCATATTTCTTGGAGGCTTTGTTTTTTCCTTTTCGTTCTTTTTTCTCTAATCTTATCTTCACACTTTATTTCATTAAGTTGATCTTCAATCTCTGATATCCTTTCTTCCGCTCGATTGATACAGCTATTGATACTTATGTATGCTTCACAAAGTTCTCGTGCTGTGTTTTTCAGCTCCATCAGGTCATTTATGTTTTTTAAACTGGTTATTCTAGTTTGCAGTTCCTGTAACCTTTTATGAAGGTTCTTAGCTTCTTTGCATTGGGTTAGAACATGCTCCTTTAGCTCAGAGGAGTTTGTTATTACCCACATTCTGAAGCCTACTTCTATCAATTTGTCAAACTCATTCTCTGCCCAGTTTTGTGCCCTTGCTGGAGAAGAGCTGCGATCATTTGGAGGAGAAGAGGCATTCTGGTCTTTGGAATTTTCAGCATTTTTGTGCTGGTTTTTCCTCATCTTCATGGATTTATCTACCTTTGATCTTTGATGCTGATGGCCTTTGGATGGGGTTTTTCTGTGGGTGTCCTTTTTGTTGATGTTGATGTTATTGTTTTCTGTTCGTTAGTTTTCCTGCTAACAGTCAGGCCTCTCTTCTGCAGGTCTGCTGGAGTTTGCTGGAGGTCCGCTCCAGACCCTGTTTGCCTGGGTATTACCAGCAGAGGCTGCAGAACAGCAAAGATTGCTGCCTGGTCCTTACTATGGAAGCTTTGTCCCAGAGGGGCACCTGCCAGATGCCAGCTGGAGCTCTCCTGTATGAGGTGTCTGTCAATCCCTGCTGGGAGGTGTTTCCCACTCAGGAGGCATGGGGGTCAGGGACCCACTTGAGGAGGCAGTCTGTCCCTTAGCAGAGCTCGAGCGCTGTGCTGGGAGATCCACTGCTGTCTTCAGAGCTGGCAGGCAGGAACATTTACGTCTGCTGAAGCTGTGCCCACAGCTGCCCCATCCCCCAGGTGCTCTGTCCCAGGGAGATGGGAGTTTTATCTATAAGCCCCTGATTGGGGCTGCTGCCTTTCTTTCAGAGATGTCCAGCCCAGTGAAAAGGAATCTAGAGAGACAGTCTGGCCCCAGGTGCTTTGCCATGCTGCAGTGAGTTCTGCACAGTCTGAACTTCCCAGTAGTTTCCTTAATACTGTGAGGGGACTGCCTACTCAAGCCTCAGTAAGGGCAAACACCCCTCCCCCACCAAGCGCAATTGTCCCAGGTTGACTTCAGACTGCTGTGCTGGTAGTGAGAATTTCAAGCCAGTGATTCTTAGCTAGCTGGGCTCTGTGGGAGTGCGACCCACTGAGCAAGACCACTTGGCTCCCTGGCTTCAGGCCCCTTTCCGGGTCGGGGGTGAATGGTTCTGTCTCGCTGGGGTTCCAGGCACCACTGGGGTACAAAATAAACTCCTGCAGCTAGCTGGGTGTCTGCCCGAACAGTCACCCAGTTTTGTGCTTGAAACCCAGGGCTCTGGTGGTGTAGGCACAGGAGGGAATCTCCTAGTTTGTGGGTTGCAAAAACCGTGGGAAAAGCGTGGTATCTGGGCCAGATAGCACAGTCCCTCAGGGCTTCCCTTGGCTAGGGGAGGAAGTTCTCCGGCCTCTTGCACTTCCCCGGTGAGGCAACGCCCCACCTTGCTTCTGCTTGCCCTCCATGGGCTGCACCCATTGTCTAACCAGTACCATTGAGATGAACCGGGTACCTCAGTTGGAAATACAGAAATCACCCACCTTCTGCCTTGGTCTCACTGGGCGCTGCAGACCGCAGCTGTTCTTATTTGGCTATCTTGCCAGCTCTCTCCTTGCCTTTTTTTTTTTTTTTTAAGGGACAGGGTCTTGCTCTGTCACCCAGGCTGGAGTACAAGGGCATGATCATAGCTCACTGAACACCCAGGTTCATGTGATCCTCCCATCTCAGGCTCCCAAGTAGCTGGGATCACAGGTGTGTGCCATCACACCCAACTGATTTAAAAAATGATTGTAGAGATGGGATCTTTCCCTGTTTCCCAGGTTGGTCTCCAACTCCTGCGCTCAAATGATCCTCCTTCCTGGGCCCCCCAAAGTGTTTGGATTATAGGCGTGAGCCACCGTGCCCAGCCCCTTTGTCCTTTTTAAACCCATATCAACCACTTAATAATAAAAAGATGCTACTTAGAGGGAAATTAGCATAAGCGTGTAAATACTGGGTATCATTGAGGAGTGGGAAAGCAGGTGCTTTTACATAATCCAGGTGGAAATGTAATTGTTGCAGCCATTTGGAAGAATAATTTGACAAAATGCATCAACAGCCTTAAAAATTACATATTTTCAATTCAGTAATTTTCTTTTAGAAATCTATCCTAAGGAATGAAAAATAATGCAAAGATTTTTTTCAGAGATATTTTTGTCAATGAAGCAATCTAAAAGTTCAATGATAAAGGTTTTACTGAATTATCATTTATACATCTGTTTGAATTTTATGGAATCCTGTAAAATTAGGATATGAGTCTATATTTATGAATAAAAAAACTGTTTAAAGAAAAACAACCTGAGTGTGGTGGCTCATGCCAGTAATCCCAGCCACTTGGTAGGCTGAGGCAGGAAGGTCCCTTGAGCCCAGAAGTTCGAGGCTGCAGTGAGCTATGATTGTGCCATTGCACTCCAGCCTGGGTGACAGAGTGAGACCAGAACTACAGGAGAATATGTGGAATCATATTCCATGTTTTAAAATTATATATTTACATATAAAGTATATATAGATCAGGAAGAACCAACATTTTAATGGTGGTTATCACTGAGTAGTGAAATTTTGAATGATTTACTCCCTTTTCCTACCTGTGTTTTCTAATTTTTCCATAACAGATATGAAAAATGAGCATTTAAAATGAAGAAAGTAATTAGAAGAGGTTTCATGTGATCCAGGAGCAAAAATATATCAAAAAGAAGGAAAGATGGATGCATCCAACATTAAATACAGAGGGATATAAGAGAAAATGTAGCTTAGTGCAAATGGAAAAGAAAACCAAAACTGGAATCCTTTTTGCAATAAATGTTATTGCTTACATGTTAATTGTCAGTTGTATGGTTCTGTGCAGCAGAGGTTCTCTAAGATACATAAGGCTTAGGATTAGGTAAAAGTAGCTTTTTTATATGGACACAATAAAAAATATACATTGAGCAGAGTTTAACTGCATTTCCTAGATTCTGAATAAATAATTCAATAATTGATCTACTAATATCAATAGATTTTGCATTATATGTTATTGCTTTTCTCACTGAATTGGGTAAAATTTTTTTTTATTTTTGCTTATTTCCTTTCTACAATAGAAAATATCAGTTATATGTAGTTAACACGTGGCCCATGGTAGTTTCAGTTTATTTGCATTTAGCTAAACCCTTCAGAATGACCTTTATACCAGACTCTTTCATCTGCAATACAAGCATATTATTCTGCAGGGCAAATGTTTCTAAGGAAATTTTATGGAAATGGAAAATCTCCAAACATACCATCTTATATCCAAAGGAGAAATTGACATGTCCATAAATAACGAATGTGATTTTTTTCAAGTCCAGTGAAACCAGCATTGGTTGTCTCTGTTCAGGATGGAGGCCAGTAATAAAAAGAGATGCCCTAACTCTGCTATGCATGCCCAAGAGAGAAATGTGCTCACATTATCTCTTAGCTATAAAGAATGAAAAGGAGAAAGTGTTTGTGGGAATAAATGGAAAATCATTAGTTGGCTTCTGTTAAGAGGGCAAGGGAGAGAGCTAATGCATTAAGGCCAAACTAGCTTCTCAGAATATGGTTATCAAACTTATCACCCTCCTCCCTCAACCGTCTCACTCTCTTCATTTTCTATTTCCAAGTGACATGAAGCCTTGGCTTCTAAGATAGTGCAGTAATGAATACCTAAATTCTGTATGTAAAAGAGCTCAACCATAAAATCAGCTACCCATACACCTGTAAAGCAGGAAGAGAAAAGAACCTTTTCCTTAGAATGGACTCTATACAAATGCAAAGACAGTAATGGAATAATAGGAAATAAAAAGACAGAGAGGCACAAAAATGCATATTTTGCAAAACTATATATACCAAATAAACTAAAAAATGCAGTGTTTACTTTCTTAAAAGAAACAGAAAACAAGTGATATAAGTAAAGAAACAAGTGGAAAAACATTCCCGTCTTTGAGTATATTACAGTCTTTCTTGCTACCAAAGACTTTTTAAAATATGATTTTTTTCATAATTATAGACATAATTAGGGACTTTGCTTCCTAATGTTTTCCACGATACTTAAAATGAAGATAGTCTGATGATCTAAATTAATCCTTAGAATGAAGGCTTGTTATTCCTGCTAGGAAAGATTTGTCTCCCTAGACTATCTTAGAAGCTAAAACCATGAACCAGGCTGTATTGTAGTGTCTGCAATGCAGCACTGAACAAGACAGAAAATGTCCCTGTTCCTGGGGATTTTACATCCTAAAGTTTGCATTTGTTCCTGTTCTTGCATTTCTCCCCGCCGTTTATTTTACCTTCATGATTTTGTGTATCTCTTTCTCCCTTTCTCTGTTTTCCCTATGTTCCCTTTTTCCCACTTATTATTTTCTGAATTGGACATAAATTAGAACAAAATATTTTTGATTATGCATTATATTTGTTGAAAAATTGTTTAGTATTTTAATTTTTAAAATAAAAAATCTTTAAAAAAAAGAATGGACTCTATACAAAGTAGTGTGTTCTGAGAGCAGACTAAAGAAAAGAGCATGGTCTCTGATATATGTGCTGTATAAGCAAGTAATAGAAAGTTTTATTATAACACAGCCACATGTATTTGTCTACATATTGTCTATAGCACCTTTGGTTCTACAGTGGCAGATTTGTGGGATCTAAAAATCAAAACAATTGAACTCATGGGCATAGCGTATCCAACAATGGTGGCCAGAGTCTGCTAAGGGTAGTAGGGGATTGTGGGGGAGGTGGGGATGGTTAATGCTTACATTAAAAGCAGTTAGAAAGAATGAATAAGACCTAGTATTTGCTAGCACAACAGGGTGACTATAGTCAGTAATAACTTAATTATACATTACTAAAAGAGTGTAATTGAATTGTTTGTAATACAAAGGATAAATGCTTGAGGGGATGAATACCCCATTCTCCATGATATGATTATTACACATTGCATGCCTGTACCAAAATATCTCATGTACCCTATAAATATATACGCCTATGTACCCATTGGGTAAACTCACTGCTGGATCATATGGTAGCTCAATATTAGTTTTTTAAGGAACTTCCAAACTGTTCTTCATAGTGTTTGTACCAATTTACATTCCCACCAACAGTGTACAAAGGTTCCCTTTTTCTACTCTGTTGCAGCATTTGTTATTGCCTGTCTTTTAGATATAAGCCATTTTAACTGGGGTGAGATGATATCCCATTGTAGTTCTGATTTGCATTTCTCAGATGATCAGTAATGTTGAGCACCTTTTCTTATGCCTGTTGGTCATTTGTATGTTTTTTGAGAAATTTATATTCAAATCTTTTGCCTATTGTTTAATCAGATTATTAGATTTTTTTTCCTCTAAGGCTGTTTAAGCTCCTTATATAAAACATGGTTATTAATTTCTTGTCATATGGGTAGTTTGCAAATATTTTCTCCTGTTCTGTGGGTTGTCTATTCACTTTGTTGATTGTTTCCTTTGCTGTGCAGAAGATTTTTAACTTGTTGTGATCCCACTAGTCCATTTTTGCTTTGGTTGCCTGTGCTTGCCTGGGTATTACTCAAGAAAGTTTTGCCCAGACCAATGTCCTGGAGAGTTTCCTCAATGTTTTCTTGTAGTAGTTTCATAATTTGAGTTCTTAGAGTTAAGTCTTTAGTCCATTTTGATTTGATTCTTGTATACAGAGAAGGATAAGGGTCTAGTTTCATTCTTCTGCCTGTGGATATCCAGTTTTCCCAGCATCATTTATTGAAGAGACTGTCTTCTACCCAGTGTATGTTCTTGGCACTTTTGTCAAAAATGAATTCACTGTGGGTGTGTGGATTTGTTTCTGGGTTCTCTATTCTGTTCCATTTATCCATGTGTCTGTTTTTATGCCAGTACCATGCTGCTTTGGTGACTTAGCTCTGTACTATAATTTGAAGGCAGGTAATGTGATTCCACCAGTTTTGTTGTTTTGTATAGGATAGCTTTGGCTATTCTGGGTCTTTTCTGGTTCCATATAAATTTTAGAGTTTTTTTTTTCTATTTCTGTGAAGAATGTCATTGGTATTTTGATAGGGATTGCATTGAATCTGTAGATTGCTTTGAGTAGTATGAACATTTTAACAATATTGATTTTTCCAATCCATACAAATGAAATATCTTTTCATTTTTTGGTGTCACCTTCAATTTCTTTCATCAATGTTTTATGTTTTCATTATAGAGATCTTTCACTTCTTTGGTTAAGTTCTTTCCTAGGTATTTAAATTTATTTGTGGCTATTGTAAATAGGATTACTTTTTGATTTCTTTTTCAGATTCTTCACTGTTGGCATATAAAAATGGTACCGATTTTTGTATGTTGATTTCGTATCCTGTAACTTTACTGAATTTGTCTATTAGTTCTAATAGTTTTTTGGTGGAGTCTTTAGGTTTTTCCAAATATAAGATCATATAATCTGAAAACAAGGATAATTTGACTTCTTCCTTTCCAATTTGGATGCCCTTTATTTATTTCTCTCATCTGATTTCTCTAGTTAGGACTTCTAGTATTTGCTGAATAAAGTTGTGAAAGTGGGCATCCTTATCATTTTCCAGATCTTAGAAGAAAGGCTTTCAGTTTGGGAAAGGCTTATTGTCTGGGAAAGTCTTTATTTCTCCTTCATGTTTGAAGGATATTTTTGCTGGATATACTATTCTAGGGGAAAAGATTTTTTTCCTTCAGCACTTTAAATATGTCATGCCACTCTCCTGGCCTGTAAGGTTCCCACTGAAAAGTCTGCTGCCAGATGTATTGAAGCTCCATTGTATATTATTTATTTCTGTCTTGTTGCTTTTAGAATTTTTTTATTTATCCTTGACCTGTGGGAGTTTGATTATTAAATACCTTGAGGTAGTACTCTTTGGATTAAATTGGCTTGGTGTTCTATAACCTTCTTGTACTCAGATATTGATATCTTTCTCTAAGTTTGGGAAGCTATCATTATTATCCCTTTGAATAAACTTTCTACCTCTATCTCTTACTCTGCATCCTCTTTAAAGCCAATAACTCTTAGATTTTCCTTTTCGAGGTTATTTTTTAGATCCTGTAGGGATGTCTCATTGGTTTTCATTATTTTTTTCTTTTGTCTACTCTGGCTGTGTATTTTCAAATAGCCTGTCTTCAAACTCAGCAATTCTGTCTTCTGATTGATCAATTCTGATATTAAAAGACTCTTATGCATTCTTCAGTATGCCAATTGCATTTTTCAGCATCAGAATTTCTGCTTAATTCTTTTTAGTTATTTCAATCTCTTTGTTAAATTAACTGATAAAATTCTGAATTCCTTCTCTGTGTTATCTTGAATTTCTTTGAGTTTCTCAATACAGCTGTTTTGAATTATCTGTCTCAAAGGTCACATATCTCTGTTTCTCCAGGTTTGGTCCTTGGTGCCTTATTTAGTTCATTTGGTGAGGTAATGTTTTCCTGGATGGTGTTGATGTTTATAGATGTTCTTTGGTGTCTAGGCATTGAAAAGTTAGGTATTTATTGTAGTCTTCTCAGTCTGGGCTTGTTTTAGCTGTCCTTATTGGGTAGGCATTCCAGATATTTGAAAGAATTTGCATGTTATGATCTAAGCTGTATCCACTCTAGGGGGCATCCCAAGCCCAGTAATGCTGGGGTTCTTGCAGACTCATAAAGGTACTACCTTGATGGTCTTGGGCAAGATCCAGAAGAATTCTCTGGATTACCAGGCAGAGACTCTTGTTCTCTTCCCTTACTCTCTCCCAAGTGAATGGAATCTTTTTCTCTGTTCTGAGCCACTTGGAGCTGTGGGTGGTGTGACACAAGCACCCCTGTGGCCATGATGACTAGGGCCGTACTAGGTCACACCTGAAGCCAGCACAGCACCGGGTCTCACCTAAGGCCTGCTGTAACTTCCTGGCTACAGTCTATAATTAATTCGTAAAGGCCATGGGGCTCTACAGTCAGCAGGTGGCAAAGCCAGCAAGGCTTGTGTCCTTCCCTTCAGGGTAGTGAATTCCTGCTGGCCCTGGGCAGGACCAGAAGTGCTATCTGGAAGCCAGCAACTAGAGTAAAAAACCTTAGAAGTCTGCCTGGTGTTTTCTTATACTGCAGCTAAGCTGGAACTCAAACCACAAGACACAGTCCTTCCTACTCTTCCCTCCCCTTTCCAAAGACAGAGGAGCCTCACCCCATGGTCACCACCATGTCTAGCCCACAGGGAATACTGCCAGACTAATAATGTTGTTCCCTTAAGGCCCAAGGGCTCTTTAGTCAGCTTGTGGTGAATGCTACCTGGCCTTGGACTCACCCTTCAGGGCAGTGGGCTCCCATCTGACTCAGGGCAAGTCCAGAAATACCATCCAAGAGTCAAGTCCTGCAATCTAGGACCCCAAGAGCCTGCTTGATGTTCTACACCCCTGTGGCAGTGTTGGTACCTAAGGTGCAAGACAAATGATATTTGAATAAATAGAAAAAGCAATATCCTTTGCTTTTTCTTCTGCTCTTCTCAAGTGGAAGGAGTTTTTCCCCATAGCCACCACAGCTGGTAATATGCTGAGTCTCACCTGAAGCCAGCAAGTCTTATAGGCTCACTCATGGCCTTTAACATAGTACCTGGGTATCACTGCTGGTTATTCAGGGCTCAAGGGCTCTTCAGTTAGCAGAGGAGGAATACTGCCAGAACTGAGTGCTTCTCTTCAAGGCAGCAGGTTTTCTTCTGGCCCAGGGTATGTCTAGGAATGTCATCCAGGAGCTAGGGCCTCGAATAAGAGCCTCATGATGCTGACTGATGCCCTATCCTGCTGTGGCTAAGCTGGTATCTAAGATGCAAGAAAAAGTCCTCCTCACTCTTACCTCTCCTCTCCTCAAGCAGAAGGAAGGGGTCTCTTTTGGAGCTGAGCAGCCTGGGTTTAGGGGAGAGGTGATACCCACACTCCCTTAGCTGCCCCTGGCTGGTGTCTCAGTAGGTTGCATGCCCCATCAGTCCACTGTCTCTGGGCCCAGTTCAGCACTAGGACTTGCCTGGAAGTTCCAGTCCTTGTGGCCTAGACTGCCTTTCAAGTTTATGTAGGGCCCCAAAGCATGTTAACCTGTGATGGCTAGGCTTATGGGAACTGAAGTTTGCACCACTGGGATTGGTGATTCCCCTCTTGCTATGGCTGATTTAATTGCTCTCTCCATGGGCGGGCATCCGCTGACTTTTGTCTGGTTTTGTTTTCTGTTTTAATAGGGCAGCACTGAGTACATTGCCTCACTGATGCTGCAATAAATATCCCTTTCCCCAGCACGAAGAAACACTGTCTGCACCAGGCTGCTGCTGCCAGGGGATAGAGCAGGGGCATTGTTGGTGATTCGAGAAGGTTTTTCCCACCTCTTCAGTGACTCTTTCAGCGATATGAAGTTAAAACCAGGTACTAAGAGTGTTCACCTGATTTTTGGTTCTTATGAAGGTGCTTCTTGTGTGTAGATAGGTGTCCTTGTGGCAGGGGGTTGGGGGGTTGATTGGTGGAGCCTTCTACCCCACCATCTTGCTCATCAATACACCATTAATCAAAAAGAACTGGGTGAATATCCTGACTTTGTTATCTGTATGAATGTATGTCTTCTAATCTCAAGATATTAAAATACATACCTTGCAGAACCATGGGGGATGAAGGATCATTTATAAATCAGTAAGCATGAGACAAAATATGCTCTTAACAAATAGCTTCTATTATAAGTAATATATAAAGTACATATTTCCAAAGGGTTGTTAAGTATGGTCACACACTGAATCCCCCGCCTCCTCTAAAGCATTTATCCAATAGTAAGTATCCATTAAGTAAGGGGAATTTTGAAATATGAATTAAGAAAGTAAATATTACATGGAATGAGCTCTGCTTATGGCCAAATATAGTGTTAGACAATATCCATATGTCACCTCATCAAACTCTAGTGCCTTGATTATGCATTAAATAAGGCTTCCCTAAACAAAATACTTTCAAATATTCCTTTATTTGGTTGCCCTGAGTTTTTACATTCTTGTCCGGTATATTGTGGTAAGATTCTGGATGTATTAGGGACATATGCTTAAATTTTTTTCTTTTTGAAATAAGAGTAAGTCTACTGTGAAAAGGGAAATGGGAAAGAAGAACCTACATTATGCTAAGAAAGGGCACATATAGAAGTTTAGGAGCTGGAAATTGATTCCTTTGCAATTATAAATTATCATATACCATTTGGAGTGTTCAGGTACTCTCAAGGAGATACACATTCCAGTTTGAAGACCAGTCTAAGGGAATGAAATGGCTTTGCCCAATATTAAATCCTGTAGAGGAGCAAAAAAAAAAAAAAGTAAGTTAGTATTAAAAATATACAAAAAAAGTGATTTACACATGTAATAATTAGAAAAAGTAACCTTTGGCTATGTTTACAAAGTGCATTATTATAATTAAACTTATTGGGTATTTATAACATCACTATGAAGAAGTTTGGAATTAGTATTTTTTTAAAAAAGAGGAAGTTAAGATTAAGAGAGTTTAAGTGGCTTTCTTAAGGTCCCAAAATGAAGTGGCAGAACCAGGACATAAACTCAGTCTTCTGGTTCTAAAGATGTGTACCAGATAACAGTTATTACCTACATCAATAAAATCTGGGACCATTGTAAATAAACATTTAAAATCTTTCTTAAATATTGATTTTTGAAAACTTCCTAAAATTAGAATTTTCAAGTGTTTTAATAAGGGAGTATGTAAAGTGTATAGATTTTTTTTCTTACTGCCCATGTTTTCTATGAATCATCAAGCTAAAAATTCTATTGCTATTTGGTTTTTAAATCAATATTTCTAGAGCATAACAGAATACACATAAAGACTAGCAATCAATAGCACCACAACAATTTCAATGGCCATGACTTTTTTTTTATATAAGATATTCAGTATTTCATTTTGGGATCTGAAACATTAAGGAAGTAATGTGGTGTTTTTAAACTTAACTGAGTACTAATCCTTTTAGTAAATTAGAAATTAAAGCTGACGTACTTCTTTCCAAAATATTCTTTCTTAAGATACTCTAACTTTACGGTTTTTCTCTCATTGTTAGAATGGGATTATTTACCTACTGCTAATTTTGGATTTAAGCTATTGTTTTTGGAGGAGATAATTTTAACACTAAATTTTGAGTCTAAAAACCTGTGTGGTAAAAAGGTAGTTTACCAAACACCATTCTATAAAATAATACCATTTTATAAATATAATTTTATAATACTACTCTTATAAATACCATATTATAAAAGAAGTTTTAGGAAATGCTTTCGGGTACTTAATGACTAATATATTGCATCTTCTACCGAGGAGAGCCTCTGAGTTTCGTGTCCTACATCCCATGGGAGGCCCCTACAGGGGCATGGAAAACCCATTGCATCTCATCACTGCTAACTGACAAATTAATTAAAGCTTATTTCCTGTCCATGAAAGCCAGTGGTCTTGCCATAAAAGGTGAGCTAGGAGATATTCATTTTTCATACTATAGCATATACATTTAAAGAAAGTGTGTGATTTATAGAAAGTAATGTATAAGAAATTACAGTTCATTCCCAAGAGGGTCACTCAAATTAGAAAGATCCATCCTAAAATCTAGGCGTATGGAGTTCCTCCACTTTAAAAATCATTTTCTTAACCCAAGAATGTAAGTAGGAGACTATCCTTTGATAACTATACTGAAAGAACAAATTTAAAGAAAATATGCAGATGTTTCAACGTTTAGAAACAGAAAACCACCACAGGAAATAATTAAATAGAAGCATAACTCCGGCCCAAGGACAAGTGTCATTTACCGGTGTAAGGTGAAATAGGAAAGAAAAGGGATGGTGCAGTGACTTTTTAATAATGCTATTTTTAAAAACAAGTAAATTCCAAGATGATAGATGATGTCTTTCTTACCTTTTTATTTTACTGGTATTTAGAAGACTTTTTTTAGTGAGATGATAATGATAGGAAATGGTGGTAATTGTTTATTTTCTAATTCTCCTCCTCTACAGAAAAAAAAGGCTGGTCTTATTATGTGGGCCTTCCTCTGCCTCATCCTAACTCTAAATGCATGTTTAACACCATAGCATCCCAAAGCCTGGGAGCCATGTGGGATCTGAGGATGGAGAAGACATGCATAAGTGAACAAGGTCCTTCTGATCTTTCAACACACTTAAGAAAAAAAAAATTTCTTACCTTGCCCCAAGAGGCCCCATATGGCTTTCCACCTGCCCACACTTTTTAGCCTCGTCTCTTCCCACTCTCCCATCTGCTCATTGAGCTCCGGCCGCACTGGCCTCCTTCCTCTCTCTTCAAGAGCCGCACATCCTTGCTTTGCCTCATGGCCTTTGTACCCGCTAGTCTGCTTGTTCTCTCTTCCTCATGGCTCTTCAGATGGCTGGCCTCTTCTCACCCTTCAGTACCCAGTGCCCTTGGCCATCCCATCTAAAGTGGCCCCCTTTCTCCTCCATTCACTTTCTAACATACCAGCTTATTTCCCTGATTTCACTAAGTACTAATTTTTATTATTTGTTTATTTCTAGCTTATTTGTTGCCTATCTCCTCCTGCTAGAATATAAGCTCCCAAACTGTAGAATGTTTATCTTTTTTGTTCTCTGTTGTATCCACTTTTCCAAGAACAGTGTTTGGCAATTGACAGTTATTTGATACAATTAATTGAAAAGAAAAAGTGCAGGTAGGGAGAAGAGAAGGGAAGGAAGGAAGAAAAGGAGAAAAGAAGGAAGTAAGGAAGAGGGGAGGGAAGGAGACTGTAGCAAGATTTTTTTTTTTTAAGTGAAATAAAAGTCAACTGATTTTGGCAATAGCATGAGTTTAAGAATATTTTGGTTATATCCTTATTTGATAATTATCTGTAACCTTCCTTAGAACGAAAATTTTGTAAGTACAAAAACCTTGTTGCTTTTCCACTATTGTATTTCCAATGTCTAAAATAGGGCCTGACACAAGGCACTAAATACATATTTGTTGAAGTAATGGATAAATGATGAGCTCCATTTAGGAAATAATGAGATATACTATTAAGAAGCAAGAATATTTTGAATGACAAGAAGTAATCTTTCTAGCATTTGAATTTGAAAATACGCGAAAAAGAAAACTATACATAATGCTAAATAAGGCCCAGCAAAAGCTTACATAGCAATGTTTAAAATAACCACAAATTGGCCAGGCATGGTGGCTCATGCCTGTAATCCTAGCACTTTGGGAGGCCAAGGCGGGTAGATCACCTGAGGTCAGGAGCTCAAGACTAGCCTGGCCAACATGGTGAAACCCCATCTCTACTAAAAATACAAAAAATTAGCTGGGCGTGGTGGCGGGCACCTGTAATCCCAGCTACTTGGGAGGCTAAGGCAAGAGAATCACTGGAACCTGGGAGGCTGAGATTGCATCACTGCACTCCAGCCTGAGCAACAAGAGCGAAACTCTGTCTCAAAAAAAAAAAAAAACCCACAAATTATTTCATAAAATTTGCTCAGATTACCTACTTGCCGCATACTGAACTAATAAAGAAAAGAATGCTCATTAGCACCAGTATGGCCCAGGTAATGTGCTTACCATTTTCACCTGTCACCTGTTTTACCTTACTGGATCCTCATAGCAACTAAATCACATCTGTTTTATAGATGTAATAGGGTGTCTTGGCTAGGCGAACACTCCTATAAAATACAATTAGGAATAGTCCTATAATGTCCAGGCAGGATCCAGAACACAGAAGCTCCTTGCACATGGAATTAGCCGATATGTCTCCCCTACTGTGTCCATTTACATACACTGATCCACACAGGGGCTGAGAAGCCTTCTGGGTGGAGGGCTTACACCTTCAAGTCACTGGATTTCAAGTACATATGAATGTGTTTGACAGACTCACATGACCCTGACAGATGGCAGCTTTTAGGGAACAACATGGAGCCTCTGAGAGTGGCATTGCTATGGCAAAGGAAGAATCTGGCATTATAAGCTACACCTAACCATATGGCTTGTTCTTCAGTGGGGCATGCTGGGTTCTTCTGGGGATCAGTCTGGTGCTGATAATGGAATCTTCTCTCACTCAGCCACTCTGCTGGAATGTTTGTACCCTGTGGAGAAACTGGCTGTATATTAGTCAGGGTTTCAGTTCTAGATCACACAAACTACTTTAAGCAGAAAGTGATTTAACACGGATGCTTACAAAGGTGATGGAAGGACCGGGGGACCTGGAATTAGCCTGAGCTTCTGGGAACAGTATTGAACAGTCCCTGAACAATACTGTAGATCCGGCCAGTTAAGGGTGTCATTCTCACACCATCACCACAACGTGGAGGAATCAGTAAGTTGCTGGAAGCAGAATACCCCACCTCATCCACAAGCCAAGGAGCCAGAAGATGCCACCACCACTGATGGCTCCAGTTCCACTCCATCTCAGCTATGATCCACGCTAGCAGAATGAATGCCCCATGCCCTGCCTCTTGACACCACAAAGCCAGGGACCGTGTCATCACCACTGCAGAAAATCCTTATGCTTCCATGATCATGATTGCCAGCAAAAATGACAAAAGCAGGAGATCAGCTTCCCTCACGTCACTCTTGTCTTCTACATCTTGGGTGGGTGTCTCTTCTTGGAGAAGCTAGGTCCCATACAGAATGTGAGCTGTGAAAGGGGTCCAAGAAATGTTATTTTTCATGTTTTACCCTCCAGAGTGCAGGGAACCAGTGTGCAATATCTGCTATAGCTTACATGTGTGAATTGAAAGTTATGTCTCTGGGTGCTGAAGCCCCTTAGAGCACAAGCAGTTTTGATGTGGGATGACTACAATAAACAGAAGGGGACTCAGATAATCTTGTGGGAACTTCCTCAGTGAAACACCCAAAGGAGAGTCTCTTCCGCATTTTTCAAGAATGACAACAGATATCTGGCAGAGAGGGACAGGGATAGCATTTCAGGTCCACTACAATCCAGGTATGTAGGTCTCTAACTCCACTAACATCTGAGCAGCAGAAAAAGAATGAGGACAACGGTCCCACTTGGGACAGAAACCGCAAGGAATTGTCAGTCCTGAAGCTTTGGGCTCTAAATTAAAGTTGATTCATTAATACATGTAAGCTCCCTTCGGGTCGTGTAGAGAACTGGGGACCTGGAATTGTCATTGTAACGTCAAAAAGAGGGGTTAAATTTCTCAAGATTACCATATTAATATACCTTGATTTGAACTCATGTGGGTCTTTTGGTTATGTTGGTGAAGATGATGAAACTTAGATCAAGTCATCACTTTGCCTACATAGGAGTGGACCTATAATTTGACTCTCTCCAAAGTGGATAGTATTTATATTGGGATACTTTTCACCAAAAGTGACAGAATATCATGCCTCATATTGTCTTACACAACAAGACATTTATTACTCCCCATAATGGGAAGTCTGGAGATGCCATGAGCAGGGTGGCAGGGCTCCAGCTCTCTTCTGACTCATTTAGCTCTTCCTCACTCTGATACTTCAGGTTGGAGACAAGATGGCTGCCCTGGTCAAGGCCTCAGGCCAAGCATGATGATGGCATTTTGAAGAAAGGTGTCACATTCACCTCTGGTTTTCCTAAGATGATGGAAATTCTTTTTTGTAAGTCCCCCGGCAGACTTTCTCTCATGTCTCATTCACTAGAACCAACCCCCTTCTCTAAGCCTATCCTTGGGAAAAGAAATAAGATGACTGTGGTTGGCTACACTAACTAGGATGCACCACTGTAGCTAGGAGTGGACTTGACTTCCCCTGAAGCACAAGGCAATGTGAAGAAGTGTGGTCACCTAAACAATATCAGTTATGCTAGAAAGGAGGACAATGAGGATAATGGAGGTTGGGTAGGCAAGGAATGATGCCAGCTTCGACCTCTCCATTAAATAGTTAACTATTTTCCTGGGGGAAAAATTATGAGAAAGTTACTTTTGTTAAGGTTGGGTGATACACTGAGGAATGAGGGAACACCCAAATGCCAGGGGAGAAGAGGCAAATTTAGAAAAGAGTGAGAGAGAAGATGGACTGTTTCAAAAGATGGAGCACAGAAGGGAATCTGTTGTACAATGGAAACAACAAAGGTGCTTGTACCATAGGTATGTACCCTGGTAAAGGTTTTTATGAGAAGGTCTTCTGAAGAAGAGGCAGGACACAAAGAATTCCACAGTTAAAGAGATCCAGGAGACCAGCTGGAGGAGTGTCTGACAAGAGAGCAGGAATAAAGTGACAGATGAGAAAAAGAAAGGAAAGAAAAGGATGAGGAGACCTGCTGGCCTGTAGTTAGTCAGTGCAAAGTGCTGTTGCTGGGATACCTGTTCAGGTGCTGCTGGGAATTACAGTCTCTGTCAGCTGGGTTCTGAAGAGAAGAAGTGGTTCTTAAGTAGCTGACACCCTTTGTGTCTCTGGTTATTAAAAATACAATTTAATGATGTGGGAATTCAGCAGAGCAGCAATTCTGAGGCTATCACCTTGCACTTACTACCTAGTAAGAGAAGTTTACCAAAAAAAAAAAAAAAAAAAAAGAAAGAAAAAAAGGAGAAGTTTACCACTTTTCTGTTTTCTCCTGGCTGACTTCGGAGCTGCAGAATCTGAGTGTGATCTGTCAAAGGGGTAGGAGCTCTAAATTAAAACGAACAGCACTATAGTTTTTCCTAAACCTTGCCCAGAAAGTCTTAGTTACTGAACCACAAACCAGTCACTGCTGTGGTCCTCTGGAATGCTTTCTAGGGATATCCCTGTACAGATGCTCTCCAGGAACCCTTTCAAACCTCAAATCTTTGTCTCCCCGATTCCTGTTATGTTGCATATAATGCTTAAGTTTGTAGTACCTGGCACCATTATGAATGAATATATGGTGATCTATGAATGGATATTTGAGCTTTACGGATATTTTATGATCTAGGTGCTATTTTATAAAATGTGGACACCTGGTGTTGGCATTTAAAAGAAGCTGACTTATGTAAGCATACTACTATAAAAAGGAGGGAAAAACTAGCCTTAGACAACAGCCCTCTTTTGGTGCTTACTTATCCAATCAAATTTTGACTCTTTGACTCTCACATATATGTCCCAACAGTTGTGGCCTGGTTGAGGTTGCATTATTTGTAAACTCTTTTGGCTCTGTATGTGGACTTGACATCTTGGTCCCATTCTTCACTCAAAATATTCTTCCAATTCCAGCTCCTATGGATTGCTATAAAGGAAATTTTCTGCAGCATCCCTGGACATGCTGGTGTTAGCTCCAAATCTCCTCAAAGAAGGATCAGGCAACTAGCATAAATCCAATCAGGAACATCTCTTTGCTCTTCAAGAGCTAAGCACTGAATGTGGCCATTTGATGTGTTATGCTGAATGTATTTTGAATGTGTTTAGAAGATTGAGCCACATGTTCCACTCATGAGCCTCAGCAGAAATCAAGGGAGAGGCTGATTTTCCTTTAGAAAATCAAGATTCCTTACCAGGAGAAGAAAGTATAGATATTGGGCATCAAGATTGATAGATGTCTACTGTAATCAGTCACATAGAAGTTTCAGGAATTTAATGGGTTCTCAGCCCAAAGTATTTACATTTCAACCCTGTGTAGTGATTTTCTACAAGGTTACGTTGCCTCGGCATCCATTTTAATAGGTTTAATTTTCTGATACCAGAAGTGAGCTTGGTCATCCTTGACATAATTTTCAGTTCTCTGCCTTTTCCCAGTTCCTTAATATGGTCAATCCAGATATCTGTCTTGCACAATCCCCTCCTGGTGACCACCTCCACATAGCACAGCTAGATGCAACCTACCGGACCTGCCCCACTGACCCCCACAACCCACATGGACTGCACAGACATGCTGCAGCAACCATCTCTCCCTCAAAGCATGACCCCATGGAATTTGTGCTGGCTTGCTCAAAATCCAGCAGTTAGAACTCCCCATGGAAAACCTGCATGGGTAATGCCCTGAACCACAGTAAAGACTTCAGTCCACAGGTCCCTCTTTCTCTCTCTTGCTCCCCACTCACTGGTTGAGTGTGTGTGTCCTGGACAGCTCCCCACTTTCCCTTGGCCCTGTGAGGCATGCTGCCCTCTTCTCTCTGATCTGCAAGTAATAAACTGCTTCTGTTATTTTACGCGTTTTGTTGAGTTGCCTCCTCTGGGTCTCAACTAGCCAACACATTTGAACTTAACATTTTTCTTCATCAGGGCTCTCCTAAAGAGTGGCTATCTGGTAGGAATAACCTGGACACAGATCAGACAAGAGTCACAAAGGTGTCATCAGTAAAAACAGGTTTTCTGTGAGAGGCACATTGCTCATGGGTCAGACGCTTAGGCATTTGGCTGGTCTGCCGCGATAAAGAAGAATCCTGTGAAAGGCTCATTGTAAGCATTCATGGCCAAATTCCTGGAGCCCCGTTAGGCAGGGCTACACTTTAGAGCCACTTTTGCAAAAGAGACCTCAAGACCAAATTAGAAAACAAAATACAACACCCTGAAATTAGATTTTTGAATATCGAAATAAAATTTCAGATTGTGGAGTCCAGGTTTTTTATACATCTTGAGAACCTCATCTTTCTTCTTGGTTATTTTAATTATGTATCTAATAAAGGCAGTAAAAATGACTTAAAATAAAAAATTATTTTACATTGTTTGGAATAGATCATTATTAACTTATTCCTAAATTATAGCATCTAAGAGAGTCTCTGCTGCACCTCATTACAAGATGCAAAAATACAGCAATTCCACAGTTGCTTTGTTGGAATAATTCCATAAAATGCAAAACACCATCAAAAGTACCAAAAAAAAAGGAGGCTAAAGATGTGAAGTTTAACATATAAAACAATCTTCTGAAGAGGAATGTGAAGCTCCTTGCACCATGTGATTAGGTATTAGCATATAACAGTATAAAAGGTCATACTTAACTGCAAAGAAATACTTTACTAATAATGGGGTATTGTTATGCAGAGATTGTATTTCTGATTAGAGAACAAATACCATATGTTCACCTGCTCCATGGGCATTCCAGTTTTGCATACCAGGCACGTACTCTGCTACATGCATGGCAGCACTCAATTTGGAAAGTGCTATGTTGCTTGACAACATCCCCAGATCTGCTCATTGGGAATTGAAGAGATTGCCAATCACACGTGGTCTTGACAATCATCCCATCTGCACATGCAGGAAACAACACTAATGGTCCTGTCATCCTTCCCCCCTCAAGTACTCAGGACAGACAATGCACTAGGGGATAATGAGGTCCATGATCTCAACCATTCCTGGTTCCTGCACCTGTATGTTTGCAGAGGCTCAAGGGGTTCCTCTGAAAGCTGAAGATCCAGAGGATAAAAATGATTCACAGATACATGCTTAGTTAATGAAGTAGAATCTCTTTGTTTATCTTGGATAAACACCTGGATATGAATCTGTGTCCAAGGCCTATATCACTTACTTTTATTGTTATTTGTGATTTTAGTTCTGCAGTTCTTTGAATACTAACAGCCTTCCTTCCTGGTATAGAGATCTTTCTGCTTTTTTCAAATCTTATGAAGGAGATAGGAGAGAGTATCAGTTGTGGTTGCTTATGCAGACAAGGTTAGGGGTGGGTATAATTAATTAGGATGCTTGGAAAGTTTGTGAGTTGCCAAAGTGATAAAATCTAAAGTACTGATGACACACTTTGGAGAGGATGGAGAAAGAGATCATGGAATTTTTGCATCATGGACATATTTTTCTCCTTTAGTCTATAAGAGTTTATATGTGCAATTCTTGGCACAAAGTAGGTGTTTAATAAATATATGTTGCATGTTGAATTAATAAAATATAAAAACATGATGAGGGCAGGATAATTTGATTTTCTAATTATGTCTGGGTAAAAATGATGGAGTGATGAAAAAGCATATAATTTCTTTCTAGTCCTTAATTGAATGAGAAAAGAAGTGTTCATTCAATAAGACAAATAAACAAATGCTAGCAAAAAATAATGACCAAGAACCTAACAGGAAAAAGGGAGCAATGGTTTATGGTATAAAATTTAAAAATATGTATGTAGCTCTGGAAAGAAAGAAAACTTCAGCTTTGCTGGCTCCAACTTCACAAAATTAGTTCTAGGGAAAGAAAATGTGTCAACCAAGTTCTGATAATTCTCTTTTTACCCTTCATTTGGAAAGAAAAGGACTTAGGAAGTGGTTTTCTAATTTATTCTCTTTAGTCCTGGATGGAGTAGAAGTAGTTTTGTGAAGAGAGAGGCAAGTGGGCAACCTTATCAACCAGCATTGACTGAGTCTGATGAAGCCTAAGTGCCAAAGCTCCATATGAAACAGCGGTAACAATACAAGGCCAAAGAGACCCGCACTGAAGAGGACATACCTCCTCCAGGCCAAGTAAATAACGCTAAGATTGTCAACCTGAAATAATTGAATATTAAAGCAATGCCAAGTGTGAGCTTCTATTGCAATGCAAAAGGGCATATTTTTCTATCTACTTTAGAGTGTTCTATGTTCCAATAAAATTCTTTGGGCTTTGTGCTAGTAAGAAATGTAACAAACCTGCATGTTCTGCATATGTATCCCAGAACTTAAAGTCAAATAATAAAAAAAAGAAATACCAATGAAAAATGACCCCCCCCCCCACTATTTAAAACTAGAAAATAATTTTACTTCTGCTAGGCTCATTTCTATCGGCACCACCTACCCCTTAAACACCTGCTTTTAACCATGTAACAAGATGCATTGTTATTTGTCCCTCTCTTCCTTTATGTTTATATAGAGTGGTTTTCACTTAAAATATCTGATGATTGCAGAGAGCAGCAAAAATATACTCAAAAGCATGGGGGAAATGATGGCTCTTTCTGTTCGTTTTTTCTCCCACAAATGATGCTCCATATAGTAGTTGGTTCATCCAGCAGGAAGAATGGCAGATGGAGTTTACTAATATATGAGTACATGAAATGGAAAAAAAAAAACAAATAAGCCACCAGGAAGAGGGCTTCCAGAAGAAACATTATGATAGGACATTTATTCAATAAATATGAGCTCAAACATATCTTATCCCTGGAAATCAAGTTAAAACACACAGCCTTGATATTCTTGCTATTTCTGAACCAGGTCCTGTCTAGCTTTCCTGAAGCTATCTAGACAGGACTAGGTTAGCATCTTTCCAGTACTGCAAAAAGCAAAACAAAACCAAACGTCAACAACAACAAAACCCTATGTTTTCTGTGTACTATTTAAACATTGTTGGCGGGCGTGGTGGCTCGCGCCTGTAATCCCTGCACTTTGGGAGGCCAAGGTGGGCGGATCACGAGGTCAGGAGATGGAGACCATCCTTGCTAACACGGTGAAACCCCGTCTCTATTAAACATACAAAAACAAAAATTAGCTGGGCGTGGTGGCGGGCACCTGTAATCTCAGCTACCCAGGAGGCTGAGGCAGGAGAATGGTGTGAACCCGGGAGGCGGAGCTTGCAGTGAGCCGAGATAGGGCCACTGCAGTCCGGCCTGGGCGAAAGAGCGAGACTCCATCTCAAAAAAAGAAAAAAAAATTGTTGAGACTTGATTCATTTGTTCAACAACTATTTAATAAGCTCTTACTTTGCGTCAGGTACTAAGTTAAACAAGAAAATATTTTAAATACGATCAACAAAGCACTCTGCACTCCGAATATTCAACTATATAAGACTGATTGGTCAGCGTTTTCTTGGCTCACCTTAGCAACAGAAGGCCACGCTGGCCTGACCTCAGGGGGCTGCATGCGGGAACTTGACTGGTATTCTCTCTCTCCCTTTTCTGTTCCCTGTTCTCCCTTTTGCTCCTCCTTTCTCTGTTTCCATCTTAATATCTCCTCTCTGTTTCTCTCTGCATATTAACTTTGTTCTCGCAAGCTACTTATTCTTACAAGCATACAACTGTAGCCACAGGGAGCTCTGGACTTGTATCCCTACATATTTGTTTCTGGAAAAGAAAGCAAGCTTCCAGCTTCAGTTAATTCCAAGGATCCTACTTGGCCTGAGGAGAAGCTCAACTTTGGATCAGGTGGTGGGTTACAACTATTAGCCCACTTGTGGTCATATGTCCACTCCTGTGGCCAGGAAGGTGGGGTCTGTTACAATTATATAAGCTAGCGAGAGGAGATAAGGAGTATAATGTTAGGTAAAGAATAGCTATTGCAAAGACCGCATGTCATTAGTGTGCTATTACAAAACATGCTATGAGAAAAACCATCTAAAATTATCCATTGTCTATTTAAAAGAACATACAATTTTAATTAAAAGAGTGCAAAGCATGCTATCAGAAAATCTAAACAGGAAGACATAAAATAGCTGAAAACAATTAAAAAAATACCTAACAAGGTATTTTCCTCTAATCATCAAGACTCAGCTTAAATGTCACTTCTCTGTTAAGTTTCTATCTGACCCTCAAGACTGTCTAGGTACTCCCTCTCATACAGTGCCAGTGTTTCTCCTCTCCCACACTTGCCACATGGAAATTCATTATTTGTTTAAAGTTTTTTCCTCTGGTAAGATTGTAACCTCCACGAGAGCAGGAACACATCTAGAGTCCAGCGTAATGCCTGACACACAGTAAACACTCAATAGATGTTATTTTAATGACTAAAATGAGGCAGTTTAAAACAATCAGATATAATTTTTACATTCTAAATTTGTAAGGATTTTTTAAACTGATAATTTTCAGTGCTATCTAGGATCATTAAAAAGGTAATTCTTACACACCACTGATAAAATTGTAAATTGATGCCACATTTCTAGAGGAAAATTTTGCAATTGGGACTGGAGCTCAAAATGTAAAATGTTCATAGCCTTTGAATTTTATTTAGAAACTTAAGGAAATAATCAGGCAGTTAGTTATACTCAAGGCTGTAGCTGCAAATGTCTCTTTTATAACTTTCTCCCTGTTTTCTTCTTTCTAACTACCTTCATCACCAGCTGTAAACCTCATGCAAGTAAAATATATTGGCTGTTATTTCTCCTTGCACAATTATTTAAAAACTGTGGCTCACCTCCTCTTACTCCTCAAAGTGTGATCTCCTGGCTCATCACCGATGTCTCCAGTACAGCTCTTGAATTAATTCTTAGTGATTTCAATATCTGAGTACATGATCCTTCCAAAATCCTGGCCTCTCAATTATTAAGCCTCTTTTCTCCAATGGTTTTCACCGCCGTCCTTTGAGATATCTACTTCCATGGTTTTCCTCTAGACTTTGTCATGCTGTTCACTACTGTAATCTTAGTTTTCAGAATTCCAACTCTCTAAGCAACACCCTCTGTCTTTAAGGTTCATTCCTTTTATAATATCCTTATAAAGACTGTTAAAGTACCCTAATTCTAACAATTCTTTCAGCCAACCAGGACTATGTTAGTCCATTTTGCATTGCAATAAAGGAATACCTGAGGCTGGGTAACTTATAAAGAGAAGAGGTTTATTTGGTTTGTGGTTCTGCAGTCTGTACAAGAAGCATGGCAACAGCATCTGCTTCTGGTGAAGCCTCAGGAAGCTTCCAATCATGGCGGAAGGTGGAGGGGGAGAAGGAATGTCACATGGTGAAAGAGGGAGCAAGAAAGGGGAAGAGGTGCCAGGTTCTGTTAGACAACCAGCTCTCATGTAAACTAACAGAGTCAGGACTCACTCATTATTATAGGGAGGGCACCAAGCCATTCATGAGGGACCTGTCTCCATGACTGAAACACCTCCCACTAGGCAACCCTACTCTAATAGTGGGGATCACATTTCAACATGAGATTTGGAGGGGACTAACATCCAAACTATATCAAGGACTTACAATCCACCCTGTCCTTCTCATTGTGCTAATTTTCTTCCTCACACCATTAGATTCTATGTGACTTCATTATAGTCATTCTCCTGTCCCTTTCTATCCTCATTGCACTCACATGGTCCAAATAAAATTCTGGTTAAAGCAACTTCTCTATTTATGTCTGCATCTAAGCTGCTGAATTTGCTGGTGGAAAATAAAAATCATGGTGACTGCTCTGTTTAAATTAATGATCTGCAACTGTAAGAGAAACCCTTATTATTTCCTGGTGACCCTGCTATTTTACCTTAGACTTTTTCCTTTCTCATCAGCTCTCTAAATCTCTAACATCTTCCCTTTCCTCTTCTCTCACATCTGATGCTCTTGATTTCTACTTCACAGAGAAAAATATAAGCAGTTGGAATGTACTTTCTACAATCGCTCCCCAACCATGTTTACCAGCCTACAGACACCTGTGCCTCCTCTGCTTATTTAAAACAAGCTTGTACACTATATCTCATCCTTTTCTGCTTACTCAAGGACATTGTTCCAGCAAATCTCTTCTCTCTCTCATGCATCATCAATTTTGTTTTATACTGGATCATTCCCACCCATATGGGACATTGTGCTATTTTTTTTTATTTTGAAAAAACCAGAAACCAAAACTGTCTCCACTTCTGCCATCAGCTACCAGCCTCCTTTTTCTGCTACCCTTTAGAGGAGATTCCTCAGAAGAGTTGTCTGTACTTGATTCTATTTTGCTTTGCATATTTTCTCTTGATTCCCTTCTAATTAGGTATTCATTTCTACCACTCTACAGAAACAGCTTTTGTCAAAATCATCAGTGATCTTTTTGTTTCCAGATCTAATGATCAATTATTAGTGCTCAGCCTATTTGAATTATCAGCAGCATTTGACATACGTAACCACTCCTTCCTGTATCACTTTCTTCACTTGGCTTTGAGACTGTCACTCACTCCGTCTCTTGTGGTTTTCTTCCTACCTACTGATCATGCATGTTTAGCCTCTTTTGCTGGTTACTCATGTCCCTGACTTAAATATTGGAATGCCCTGGGACTCCACCCATAGATCTTTTCTCCTTTCTATCTGTACTGCCTCCCTAGATGATTTTGTCTATTTATGTGGCCTTAAATACCATGCAAATGCTGATGACTTCTGAATTGTTTCCTCATGTCAGACCACTCCTCTGAACTCCAGGCTCATATATCCAATTCCTACTTGATCTCTCAGATGTTTACTTTGCATGTCAAACTTAATAGATCAAGTCCTGATCATCTGATCTCTCCATCTTGCTTGTCCTATAATCCTCCTTATCTCATTAATTGACAACTTCAATCTTTCAGCAGTCAAGGTTTAAATCTTAAAGTTACTACTAACTCTTCTCTTTCACTCATATTATCTATTAGCAAATTCTGTTGGCACTATCTTCAACGTCCAGAGTCTGACTGCTTCTCACTACTTTCCCTACTGTCTCTCTAGCTTAAGATACTTTCATCTCCCCAGATTGCTGCAAGACATCCTGGCTAGTCTCCCTGCTACCACCCTTATCTTATTTTAATCCTCTCAATACAGCATCACAGTGATCCTTGGAAAATGTAAGTCTGATAATTTCACTTCTCTACATAAAACTCTCCAGGGCTCCCATCTCCCTCAGATTGAAAATCAAAATTTTCATCAATGCCTATGATAATCTGGCAATCCATTAACTCTATGACCACATCTACCATTCACACACTTGCTCAGTCCACTCTAGCCACTCTGCTTCCTTGTTGTTCTTTGAACACTTAAGCAAAATTCTATCTTGGGACATTTGCATTGATACCACTTGGAATGCTTTTCTTCCAGATATGCATATAGATCACACCTTAACTCTTTTAGTTATCTGCTAAAATAGCACATCAAAATGAGACTTCATATTACCATTCTATTTAAATTATAACTTCTTTCCTGGCAATTCTCATTTCTATTCTCTGTCTTCTATCCTTCATTAGCCTTATATAACATATTTGCTTGTTGATTATGTGTCTTATTAGAATGTAAGCTTCAGGGCAGGAATTTTGTCTCTATCACCTGAAATACTGCCTATTGTATATTGGCACTCATACAGTGTTGTCAAATAAATAAATGAAATGCTTATCTATAAGATGAAAAATTAGGGACATTCTTAAATATCCAATAATATAATAATGTCTGAATAAGTCATGGCAAATGAATTATGTTTCTATATGATGAAACAAAAATATCCACCAAAATTAGCATTAAGAGAATATTTGATGAAAAGAAAATCCTTGAACTACCTGCAAAATGAAGGAAAATAAGATTGTAAATACATGCATAGTTAAAACTTGCATACGTGCATAATTTGGGAAATAATATAAATTATGTGTTTTCTATTATTTACTTTGCAAAAACATAAGAATGAAAGACTGGAAAGAAATAAGACAAAATAATAATAAATAGTGTCTCCTATTTAGTATTTCTGTCAATGAATTAGTCAATTCAATTAGAAAAGATAATTAAAGTAGCAAAAAAAATAAAGCAAAATTATCATTATTTACAAATTATATAATTATGCAAAACTAGAAAACCTAAGCAAACCAACTAAAAACCCAGTAGAAGCAAAAAAATTCAGTAAGACGATGGATTGAACAATTAGCAAAAATAAATAGCTTCTCAATGTACAAAAGATGATCAATATAAAATAATATGAAAGAATAGGTATGAACCGAAAGAAAGAGTATCTAGAAACAAACCGTGTAAGGAATGTGTAGAACCTCTATGAAGAAAATGTTTAAATTCTCTGAGAGATATAAAAGAACATGTAAGTAAACAAAGAACAAACAACATGCTATTATTTATTGATATGGTTTAGCTCTATGTCCCCACCCAAAAGTCATCTTGAATAGTAATCCCCGTGTGTCGAAGGAGAGACCTAGCGGGAAGGTGATTGGATCATGGGGGCAGTTTTCCGCATGCCGTTCTCCTGATAGTGAGTGAGTTCTCATGAGATCTGATGGTTTAAAATTGGCACTTCCCTCTTCACTCTCTCTCTGTCTCTCCTGCCACCATGTGAAGAAGGTCCTTGCTTCCCTTTCATCTTCTGTCATGATTGTAAGTTTCCTGAGGCCTCCCCAGTCATGCAGAACTATGAGTCAATCAAACCTCTTTCCTTTACAAATTACCCAGTCTCAGGGAAGTTTTTTATAGCAGCATGAAAATGAATGAATACAAGATATTGGTACCGGCAGAGTGGGGTACTGCTATAAAGATACATAAAAATGTGGAAACAACTCTGGAATGGGGTAATGGGTAGAGGTTGGAACAGTTTGGAGGGCTCAGAGGAAGACAGGCAGATGATGGAGGTTGAAACTTCCTAGAGACTTGTTGAATGGTTGTGACCAAAATACTGATAGTGATATGGACAATGAAGTCCAGGCTGAGGTAGTCTCAGAGGGAGATTAGGAACTTATTGGAAACTAGAGCAAAGGTCACTCTTGCTATGCTTTAGCAAAGAGACTGGTGGTGTTTTGTCCCTGCCCTAGAGATCTGTGGAACTTTGAATTTGAGAGAGATGATTTAGAGTATCTGGTAGAAGAAATTTCTAAGCAAAAAAGCATTGAAGATGTGACCTGATGGTTTCTAAAAGTGTATAGTCATATGCATTCACAAAGAAATTATCTGAATTTTGAACTTACATCTACTTATTATTACTGTTTTTTAAAATTTTTTATTATACTTTAAGTTTGGGGCTACAAGTGCAGAACATGCAGGTTTGTTACAAAGGTATACATGTGCCATGGTGGTTTGTTGCACTAATTGACCCATCATCTACGTTAGGTATTTTTCCTAATGCTATTCCTCCAGTTACCCCCCCACCCCCTGACAGTCCCCAGTGTGTGATGTTCCCCTCCCTGTGTCCATGTGTTCTCATGGTTACGCTTCCACTTATGAGTGAGAAAATGCGGTGTTTGGTTTTCTGTTCCTGTGTTAGTTTGCCAAGAATGATGGTTTCCAGCTTCATCCATGTCCCTGCAAAGGACATGAACTCATTCATTTTACGGCTGCAGAGTATTCCATGGTGTATATGTGCCACATTTTCTTTATCCAGTTTATCATTGATGGGCATTTGGGTTGGTTCCAAGTCTTTGTTATTGTGAATAGTGCTGCAATAAACATACGTGTGCATGTGTCTTTATAGTAGCATGATTTATAATCCTTTGGGTATATACCCAGTAATGGGATTGCTGGGTCAAATACCATTTCTGGTTCTAGATCCTTAAGGAATTGCCATACTGTCTTCCACAATGGTTGGACTAATTTACATTCCCACCAACCTTGTAAAAGAATTCGTATTTCTCCACATCGTCTCCAGCATCTGTTGTTTCCTTACTTTTTAATGATCGCCATTCTAACTGGCATGAGATGGTATCTCACTGTGGTTTTGATTTGCATTTCTGTAATGACCAGTGATGCTGCGCCTTTTTTCATATGTTTGTTGGCCACATAAGTGTCTTCTTTTGAGAAGTGTCTGTTCCTATCCTTTGCCCACTTTTTATTGGGGTTATTTGTTTTTTTCTTGTAAATTTGTTTAAGTCCCTTGTAGATTCTGGTTATTAGCCCTTTGTCAGTTGGATAGATTGCAAAGATTTTCTCCCATTCTGTATGTTGCCTGTTCACTCTGATGATGGTTTCTTTTGCTGTGCAGAAGCTCTTTAGTTTAATTAGATCCCATTTGTCAATTTTGGCTTTTGTTGCCATTGCTTTTGGTGTTTTAGTCATGAAGTCTTTGCCCATGCCTATGTCCTGAATGGTATTGGCTAGGTTTTCTTCTAGGGTTTTTATGCTTTTAGGTCTTACATTTAAGTCTATAATCCATTTTGAGTTAATTTTTGTATAAGGTGTAAAGAAGGGGTCTAGTTTCAGTTTTCTGCATATGGCTAGCCAACACCGTTTATTAAATAGAAAATTCTTTCCCCATTGCTTGTTTTTGTCAGGTTTGTCAAACAACAGATGGTTGTAGATGTGTGGTGTTATTTTTGAGGCCTCTGTTCTGTTCCATTTGTCTATATATCTGTTTTGGTACCAGTACCATGCTGTTTTGGTTACTGTAGCCTTTGGTATAGTTTGAAGTCAGGTAGTGTGATGCATCCAGCTTTATTCTTTTTGCTTAGCATTGTCTTGGTTATACGGGCTCTTTTTTGGTTCCATGTGAAATTTAAAGTATTTTTTTTCTAATTCTGTGAAGAAAGTCAATGGTAGCTTGATGGGAATATCATTGAATCTATGAATTACTTTGGGTAGTATGGCCCAATATTTTCATGATATTGATTCTTCCTATCCATGAGCGTGAAATGTTTTTCCATTTGTTTATGTTCTCCCTGATTTCCTTGAGCAGTTGTTTGTAGTTCTCCCTGAAGAGGTCCTTCACATCCCTTTTAAGTTGTATTCCTAGGTATTTTATTCTCTTTGTAGCAATTGTGAATGGGAGTTCATTCATGGTTTGGCTCTCTGTTGTCTACTATTGGTATGTAAAAATGCTTGTGATTTTTGCACATTGATTTTGTATCCTGAGACTTTGCTGAAGTTGCTTATCAGCTTAAGGAGTTTTTGGGCTGAGACGATGGGATTTTCTAAATATACAATCATGTCACCTGCAATCAGAGACCATTTGACTTCCTCTATTCCTATATTCCTATTTGAATCCCCTTCATTTCTTTCTTTCTTGTTTTTTTTTTTTGTTTTGTTTTGTTTTTTGAGATGGAGTCTCGCTCTGTCACCCAGGCTGGAGTGCAGTGGCACTCTCTTGGCTCACTGCAAGCTCCGCTTTCCGGGTTCACGCCATTCTCCTGCCTCAGCCTCCTGAGTGGCTGGGACTACAGGCGCTCGCCACCATGCCCAGCTAATTTTTTTTGTATTTTTTAGTAGAGATGGGGTTTCAGCGTATTAGCCAGGATGGTCTACATCTCCTGACCTCGTGATCCACCCCCCTCTGCCTCCCAAAGTGCTGGGATTACAGGCATGAGCCACTGCACCCAGCCGAATACCCTTTATTTCTTTCTCTTGGTTGGTTGCCCTGACCAGAGCTTCCAATACTATGTTGAATAGGAGTGGTGAGAGAGGGCATCCTTGACTTGTGCTGGTTTTCAAAGGTAATGCTTCCAGCTTTTGCCCATTCTGTATGATATTGGCTATGGGTTTGTCATAAATAGTTCTTATTATTTTGAGATATATCCCATCAATACCTAGTTTATTGAGAGTTTTTCGAATGAAGTGGTGTTGAATTTTACTGAAGGCCTTTTCTGCATCTATTGAGATAATCATGTGGTTTTTATCATTGGTTCTGTTTATGGGATGGATTATGTTTATTAATTTGCATATGTTGAACAAGCCTTGTATTCCAGGGATGAAGCCAACTTGATCATGGTGGATAACCTTTCTGATGTGCTGCTGGATTTGGTTTGCCAGTATTTTATTGAGGATTTTCTCATCAATGTTTGTCAGGGATATTGGCCTGAAATTTTCTTTTTTTGTTGTGTCTCTGCCAGGTTTTGGTATCAGGAAGATGCTGGCCTCATAAAATGAGTTAGGCCTCATAAAATGAGAAAAGGAGGCTTTTCTATTTTTTGGAATAGTTTCAGATGGAATCGTACCAGCTCCTCTTTGTACCTCCAGTAGAATTCGGCTGTGAATCTGTCTGGTCCTGGGCTTTTTTGGTTGGTAGGCCATTAATTACTGCTGCCATTTCAGAACTTGTTATTGGTCTATTCAGGGATTCGACTTCTTCCTGGTTTAATCTTGGTTGGGTGTATGTGTCCAGGAATTCATCCATTTCTTCTAGATTTTCTAGTTTATTTGTGTAGAGGTGTTTATTGTATTCTCTGATGGTAGTTTGTATTTCTGTGGGATGAGTGGTGATCTCCCCTTTATTATTTTTTATTGTGTCTATTTGATTCTTCTAACTTTTCTTCAATATTAGTGTGGCTAGCATTCTATTTTGTTAATCTTTTCAAAAAACCAGCTCCTGAATTCATTGATTTTTTGAAGGATTTTTCGTGTCTCTATGTCCTTTAGTTCTGCTCTGATCTTAGTTATTTCTTGTCTTCTGCTGGCTTTTGACTTTATTTGCTCTCACTTCTCTAGTACTTTTAATTGCGATATTAGGGTGTTGATTTTAGATGTTTTCCGCTTTTTGATGTGGGCGTTTAGTGCTATAATTTTTTCTCTAAACACTGTTTTAGCTGTGTCACAGTGATTCTGGTATGTAGTGTCTTTGTTCTCATTCATTTCAAATAGCTTATTTATTTCTGCCTTAATTTTGTTATTTACCCAGCAGTCATTCAGGAGCAGGTTATTCAGTTTCCATGTAGTTGTGAGGTTTTGAGTGAGTTTCTTAATCCTCAGTTCTAATTTGATTGCACTGTGGTCTGAGATACTGTTTGTTAAGATTTCCATTCTTTTGCATTTGCTGAGGAGTGTTTTACTTCCAATTATGTGGTTGATTTTAGAATAAGTGTTATGTGGTGCTGAGAAGAATGTATATTTTGTTGATTAGGGGTGGAGAGTTCTGTGGTCTGCTTGGTCCAGAGCTGAGTTCAAGTACCGAATATCCTTGTTAACTTTCTGACTCATCGATCTGTCTAATATTGACAGTGGGGTTTTAAAGTCTCCCACTATTATTTTGTAGGAGACTAAGTCTCTTTATAGGTGTTGAAGAACTTGCTTTATGAATCTGGGTGCTCTTGTATTGGGTGCATATATATTTAGGATAGTTAGCTCTTCTTGTTGCATTGATCCCTTTACCATTATGTAATGCCCTTCTTTGCCTATTTTGATCTTTGTTGGTTTAAGTCTGTTTTATCAGAGACTAGGATAGCAACCCCTGCTTTTTTTGCTTTCCATTTGCTTGACGAATATTCCTCCATTCCTTTATTTTGAGCCTATGTTTGTCATTGCATGTGAGATGGGCCTCCTGAATACAGCACACTGATGGCTCTTGACTCTATCCAATTTGGCAGTCTATGTCTTTTTATTGGTGAATTTAGCCCATTTACATTTAAGGTTAATATTGTTATGTGTGAATTTTGTTGTGTCATCATGATGCTAGCTGGTTATTTTGCCCATTAGTTGAGGCAATTTTTTCATAGTGTTGATGGTCTTTACAATTTGGTATGTTTTTGCAGTGGCTTGTACATGTTTTTCCTTTCCATGTTTAGTGCTTCCTTCAGAAGCTCTTTTAAGGCCGGCCTGGTGGTGACAAAATCTCTCAGCATTTGCTTGTCTGTAAAGGATTTTATTTCTCCTTCGCTTATGAAGCTTAGTTTGTCTGGATATGAAATTCTGGGTTGAAAATTCTTTTCTTTAAGAATGTTGAATATTGGCCCCCTCTCTCTTCTGTTTGTAGGGTTTCTGCAGAGTTTCACTGTTACTCTGATGGCTTCCCTTTGTGGGTAAACCGACCTTTCTCTCTGGCTGCCCTTAACATTTTTTCCTTCATTTCAGTCTTGGTTTATCGATGATTATGTGTCTTGGGGTTGCTTTTTTCGAGAAGTATGTTTATGGTGTTCTCTGTATTTCCTGAATTTGAATGTTGGCCTGTCTTGCTAGGGTGGGGAAGTTCTCCTGGATAATATCCTGAAGTGTGTTTTCTAACTTGATTCCATTCTCCCCATCACTTTCAGGTACACCAATCAAACGAAGATTTGGTCTTTTCACATAGTCCCATATTTCTTGGAGGCTTTGTTCTTTCCTTTTCATTCTTCTTTCTCTAATCTTGTCTTCATGCTTTATTTCATTAAGTTGATCTTCCATCTCTGATATCCTCTCTTCCATTTGATCGATTTGGCTCTTGATACTTGTGTATGATTTACGAAGTTCTCATGCAGTGTTTTTCAGCTCCATCAGGTCATTTATGTTCTTGTCTAAACTTGTTATTCTAGTTAGCTGTTCCTGTAACCTTTTATCAAGGTTCTTGGCTTCCTTGCATTGGGTTAGAACATGCTCCTTTAGCTCAGAGGAGTTTGCTATTACCCACCTTCTGAAGCCTACTTCTGTAAATTTGTCAAACTCATTCTCCATCCAGTTTTGTTCCCTTGTTGGTGAGGCATTGTGATCCTTTCAAGGAGAAGAGGGATTATGGTTTTTGGACTTTTCAGCCTTTTTGAGCTGTTTTTTCTTCATCTTTGTGCATTTATCTACCTTTGGTCTTTGATGTTGGTGACCTTCGGATGGGGTTTTGCGTGGATGTCCTTTTTGATGATGTTGATGCAATTGCTTCTGTTAGTTTTCCTCTAAGACTCAGGCACCTCTTCTGCAGGTCTGCTGGAGTTTGCTGGAGGTCCATTCCATACTCTGTTTGCCTGGGTATTACCAGTGTAGGCTGCAGAACAGCAAAGATTGATGCCTGTTCCTTCCTCTGGAAGTTTTGTCCCAGAGAGGTAACTGCAAGATGCCAGCCAGAGCTCTTCTGTATGAGGTGTCTGTTGACCCCTGCTGGGAGGTGTCTCCCAGTCAGGAGGCATAGGGTTCAGGGACCTACTTTAGAAGACAGTCTGTCCCTTGGCATAGCTCGATCGCTGTGCTGGGAGATCTGCTGCTCTCTTCAGAGCCAGCAGGCAGGAATGTTTAAGTCTGCTGAAGCTGCACCCACAGCCACCTCTTCCCCGAGCTGTTCTGTCCCAGGGATATGGGAGTTTTATCTATAAGCTTCTGACTGGGGCTGCTGCCTTTCTTTCAGAGTTTCCCTGTGCAGAGAAGAGGAATCTAGAGAGGCAGTTTGGCTACAGCAGCTTTACCACGCTGTGGTGGGTTTCACACCCAGTTCAAACTTACTGGCAGCTTTGTTTACATTGTGAAGGGAGAACCGTCTACTCAAGCCTCAGCAATGGCAGACTCCCTTCCCCCAACCAAGCTCAAATGTCCCAGGTTGACTTCAGACTGCTGTGCTGGCAGTGAGAATTTCAAGCCAGTGGCTCCTAGCTTGCTGTGCTCTGTGGGGGTTGGATCCACTGAGCAAGATCACTTGGCTCCCTGGCTTCAGCCCCCTTTCCGGAGGAGTGAATGGTTCTGTCTCACTGGCATTTCAGGCATGACTGGGGTACGGAAAACAAACAAACAAACAAAACAAAACAAAACTCTCCTGCAGCTAGCTCGGTGTCTGCCCAAGCAGCTGCCCAGTTTTGTGCTTGAAGCCCAGGGCTCTGGTGACATAGGCACCCGAGATAACTCCTGGTCTTTGGGTAGTAAAGACCATGGGAAAATCATAGTATCTGGGCTGAATAGCACCGTACCTCACGGCACAGTCCCTCATGGTTTCCCTTTGCTAGGGTATGGAGTTCCCCAACCCCTTGCACTTTCTGGGTGAGTCGATGCCCCACCCGGCTTCTGCTTGCCCTCTGTGGGCTGCAACCACAGTCTCAATGAGATGAACCTGATACCTTAGTTGGAAATGCAGAAATCACCTGCCTTCTGCTTTGGTCTCACTGGGAGCTGCAGACTGGACCTCTTCCTATTCGGCCATCTTGCCCTAATCCCCCAAACTTATATTTAAAAGGGAAGCAGAGCATAAACATTTGGAAAATTTGCAGCCTCACCATGCAGTAGAAAAAAACCCATTTTCTGAGGAGAAATTTAATGTGGCTGCAGAAATTTACATAAGCAGTGAGGAGCCAAATGTTAATAGCCAAGACAATGGGAAAGATGTCTTCAGGGCATTTCAGAGATCTTCACGGCAGCCTCTACCATCAAAGGCCTGGAGGCCTAGGAGGAAAAAATGATTTCATGGGCTGGGCCCAGGACCTGGCTGCTCTGTGCAGCCTCAGGACTTGGTGCCCTGTGTCCCAGCAGCTCCAGCTTCAGCAGTGGCTAAATGTGGTTAAGATACAGCTTGGGCCATTGCTTCAGAGGGTGCAAGCCCCAAACCTTGGTGGCTTGCACATGGTGTTAGGCCTTCAGGTGTGCAGAAGAAAAGGATTGAGCTTTGAGAGCCTCTGCCTGATTTTAGAGGATGTATGGAAGTGCCTGGAAGTCCAGGCAGACGTCTGCTACAAGGGTGGAGCCCTCATGGAGACCATCTACTAGGCCAATGCAAACGGGAACTGGGGGGTTGGAGCCCCCACACAGAGTCCCCACTGGGGCACTGCCTAGTGGAGCTGTGAGAAAAGGCCCACCATCCTCCATACCCCAGAATGATAGATCCACTGGCAGCTTGCACCATGCACTTGGAAAAGCCTTGGGTGCTCAATGCCAGCCTGTGAAGGTAGCTGTGGGGGCTCTACCCTGTAGAACCACAGGGACAGAATTGGTTAAGGCCTTGCAAGCCCAGTTTTCCCTGCATGCCCTCTTTCTCTCCTGCCCTCATGTAAGACGTGCCTTGCTTTCCCTTCATCTTCAACCATGATTGTAAGTTTCTGAGGCCTTCCCAGCCATGTGGAACTGTGAGTCAATGAAACTCCTTTTATTTATAAATTATGCAGTCTTAGGCAATTTTTATAGCAGTGTGAAAATGGATTAATACATTTGTGATTGAATTTATTAATGCAATATAAACCTTAAAAGCATACCATTGAGTTTTGGGATTGAAGAAAATAATACTAAAATCCATCTGGAAAAATAAATCTCTAAGAATATGCTGGAAAAAGTGATTAATGATGGTCTTGTCTTATTGTTTATCAAAATATCAAAACAAATTATGATACCATAATAATAAAACCATATTACACCAAATAAGAAATAGAGATTTAATGGGATAGAGTTCAGATATAGACTCAAATATATAGGAGATTTTATTATAAGTAAGTTACTTCCAAATAAGTTGGAATAAAAGGTCTTATTCAATTGATGTTGGAACAACTGTTTAATAATATTTATTTATAAGACCTATTTACACCCAACCCAAAAGGAAAAATCAACACCAAAATAACTGAGATGAATCATAACATTTACATGTTTAAAATGAAATGATGAAAGTTTTTTTCGATAAATCATAGATGCTTTAAAAAATCTTAAAGTTGGGGAGGACTTTCTAAAAGGGCTATAAAATGATATTAAAAATTGTAAAATATAAGACTGACAATAAGATTGACAATGAGGGCCACTGTTGCTGCTGCCACAGTGGGCAATTGCATGGTCATCTGGAGACCTATGGATCTACCACCCCATCTGCCATCACTAGTGCCCATGTACACCTTCTGGATGCCTGAGGATAGGCCTGCTGTACCCCACCACTGCCACCACTCATGCTGTCCAGAGGTCTGGAGATAAGGCCTGCCTTGCCCACTGCCACTAGTGGGTACACAGACCATCCGAGGGCATAAGGATGGGCTCACCCTACCTGGTGCCAGTGCCTGTGTGCACCTCCTGGGGGACTGAACACCAGCCTGCACAACTTGCTGCCATCACCACTGATGCTCACCTGTTATGCCACTGGGAGCCTGGCGACCTACCCACTCATTCCATTGCTGCAACTTGTACCTGCATGCACAGCTTGGGGGCCCAATGATTGGCCTACTGCTGCTACTGTCACTGCCAATGCCACACATCACCCAGAGGCCCAAGGACTGGCATACCTATTCTACTACCACTGGTTCCCAAGGACTGGCTCACCTGGGATCCCCATCCTAAGTAAAGCCTTACCATAGCTTTTATTAACAATCACAGCTTAAGCTACTGAGGCAGTTACAGACATCACTCATGCTGGTAACAGCTGACTAAACCATACAGAGACTACACTACTGTGTACATCCAGAATTGAAGACAAAGCAAAGGACCCTATCTGATAAACACTACGAATATATCTACAGGCAAAAGTTGTTCCCTATGAAAACCAATCCACAAAATTAGAAGCCACTGTCACATCAGATATCAACATAAGGGCATGAGAAACATGACAGATTTCTTGAAACAAATAAAAATGAAAACACAACATACCCAAACCTATGAGATGTTGCAAAACCAGTGCTAAGAGGGATGTTTATAGTAATAGATGCCTACATCAAAAAGTAGAAAGATTTCAAATAACTTAATGGTGCACCCCAAATAGCTAGAAAAGCATGAATAAACCAAACCCAAAATTAGTAGAAGAAAAAAATCAGAGCAGAAATAAATAGAATAGAGACCAAACAAATACAAAGGATCAATGAAATGAAAAGTTTTTTTTTTGAAAAGATAAACACATCAATAAACTGCTTGCTAAACTAAGAAAAAAAGAGAGGAAACCTGAATTAATAATATCAGAAATGAAAAAGAAAATGTTACAACTGATACCACGGAAATACAAAGGGTCATTAGACACTATTATAAACAACCATATGCTAACAAATTGGAAAACCTAGATAAATGGATAAATTCCTGGATACATAGAAACCACCAAGATTGAACCAGGAAGAAATAGAAAACCAAAACAGGTCAATAATGAGTAACAAGACTGACTCACTAATAAAACGTCTCTCAATAAGGAAAATTCCAGGACTGGATGACTTTACTCTTGAATTCTACCAAACTGATAGAACTAACACCAATTTTTCTAAAACTATTTTTAAAAATTGAAGATGAGGAAATTCTTCCTAACTTATTTTATAAGGCTAGGATTACCAGAATACCAAAACCAGCCAAGGACACAACCACAAAAGAAAACTATAGGCCAATATTTCTAATGAACATAGATACAAAAATCCTCAACAAAATACTATCAAACCAAATTAAATAACACATCAAAAAGTTAATACACCATGGTCAAGTGGGTTTTTCTTAGGGATGCAAGGATGGTTCACATATGCAAATTAATAAATGTGATACATCACATCAACAAAACCATATTATTATCTCAATAGATGCAGAAAAAGCATTTGATAAAATTCACCATTTAATCATGACAGAAATGTTCAAGAAATTAGGCATAGAAGGAACATACCTGAATGACAAAGACATAGCTAACATCCTACTAAATGGGGAAAAGCTGAAGGTTTTTCCTCTAAGAACTGGAATAAGACAAGGATGCCCACTTTCATCACTTTTATTCAACATAGTAATGAAAGTCCTAGCTGGAGCAATGAAGAAATAAAAGGAATCTAAACTGGAAAAGAGACAGTCCAATTGTCCCTCTTTGCAGATGACATAATCTTTCATACAGAAAAATTTAAAGATTCCATGAAGAAACTCTTAGAACTGATAAACAAATTAAGAAAAGTTGCAGGTTACAAAATCAACATACAGAAATCAGTAGTGTTTCTATATACCAGTAACAAACTAGAGGAAAAGAAATTAAAAAATAATCCCATTTACAACAGCTAAAAAAAAAAATACCTAGGGATAAATTTAACCAAGGAGGTGAAAGACCTCTGCAATAAAAACTACAAATCACTGATGAAAAAATTTGAAGAGGACACACACCCAAAATAGAAATACGTCTCATGTTCATGGATCAGAGAAATTAATATTGCTAATCATACTACCTAAAGCAATCTACAAATTAAATGCAATCTCTATCAAAATGCCAGTGACATTCTTTACAGAAATAGAAAAGCAATCCTAAAATGCATATGGAACTACAAAAGACCCTGAATAGCTACAGCAGTTCTGAGCAAAATGAACAAAGCTAAAGGCATCACACTACTTGATTTCAAAATATATTACAAGGCCATAGTAACCACAACAGCATTGCACTGGTATGAAAAAACAGACACAACAGACCAATAGAGCAGAAAAGTGAACTCAGAAATAAATCCATGTATTTACAGCCAAATGACTTTCTACAAAGGTGCTGAGCACCTACACTGGGGAAAGGACATCCCCTTCAGTAAATGGTGCTGGAAAAAAACTTGGTATCTATATGCAGAAGAATGAAACTAGACCCCAATCTCTTATCATATAAAAAATTAACACAAAATGAATTAAATACTTAAATGTAAACCCAAAACCATGAAACTATTAAAAGAAAACATAAGGGAAATGCTTTACAACATTGGTCTAGGCAAAGATTTTAAGGCTAAATCCTCAAAAGCACAGGAAACAAAAATAAAAATAGGCCAATGGGACATTGTGAAATTAAAAAGCTTCTGCACCGCAAAGGAGACAATCAACAGAATGAAGAGATAACCTATAGAATGGGAGAAAATATTTGCAAAGTATTCATCCAATAAGGGACAAATATCCAGAATACACAAGGAATTCAAACAACTTAAGAGCAAATAAACAAATAATTCCCATTAAAAAGTGGGCAAAGAATCTAAGTGGACATTTATCAAAACAGGGCATATAAATGGCCAAGAGGTATATAAAAAAATGCTCAATAGCACCAGTCTTTGGGGAAATTCAAATCAAAATGTCAATGAGATATCATCTCATCCCAGTTGGAATGGCTACCATCAAAAAAACAAAAAATAGCAAATGCTGGTGAAGATGCAGACAAATTCTTATACACTATTGGTACTTAATGCATGCAGGGCTTAAAACCTAGATGACGGGTTGATAGGTGTAGCAAACCACCATGGCACATGTATATGTATGTAACAAACCTGCACGTTCTGCACATGTATCCCAGAACTTAAAATAAAAAAATTGCAATTATAGCCATTATTGAAAACAATATGAAGGTTTCTCAAAAAACTAAAAATCAAATTCTCATACAATCCAGCAATCTCATGACTGAATTTATCCAAAGGAAAGGAAATTATTATGTTAAAGGGATATCTGCTCACCTATGTTTATTGCAGTTCTATTTGCAATAGCCAAAATATTGAATCAACTGAAGTGTCCAACAGCAGGTGAATGCATGTAGAAAATGTAGTGTTTATACACAATTAAATACTACTCAGCCATAAAAAAGGAATGAAACGGTGTCATTTGCAGCAACTTGAATGAGCTTGGGAGACATTATGTTAAGTAAATGAGTCCCAGAAAGACAAATATCACATGAACTCACTCATATCTGGGAGCTAGAAAAGTTGGTCTCACAGAAGTAGAAAGTAGAATGGTGGTTACTAGAGGCTTGGAAGGGTGGAAGAAGGAATGAATGGAAGTGGTTAATGGGTATAAACATTTCATTACAGAAAAGGCATAGGCCTAGTGTTCAATAGCACAGTATGGTGACTAGTTAACTATAACATATTGCATATTTCAAGATAGCTAGATGAAAAGATTTGAAATGGTCCTAACATAAAGACACAACTCATGTTTGAGGTGATGGATATCCTAGATACCCTGATTTCATCATTACACATTGTATGCATGTATCAAAATAGCACAAGTATCCCATAAATATTTACAATTATTATGCATCAATTTAAAAAAAGAGAAAAAGATCAACAATGGGCTTCTTCTTTGATGTATACAAAGCATATAGTAATAATAAATAAATAAATAAATACTTCAATAGAAAAAATTTAGGGGATAGCATAAAGAGAATGCTTACAGAAAAATATGAATTTCCAATGCACACATTGAAAAAGACTCTTTCATATCTTACTCATAAGAAATCCACGTCACAGTCAAAATGACAATGAGATCATTTTAAATTACCTTTCATATTGGGATAAATTACAGATTTTGATGATACTCACTGTGATAGTTTGAAGCAAAAGGTACTTGGATATACTTTTGGTGATAGTAATGGCTATTGCAGTTTCTCTAAATGGCAATTTGATAGTTTAACTAAAAATGTATACAAATATCCCTTTTGAGCCAGGAACCTGACACTAAACCTGGCACTAAAGATTTACCCAATGATACAGGTACAAAATTAAATAAGGTATATAATGATATTTTTTAAAAGGCAAAAGATTTATACAACCTGAAGAGAAACCAGAGTATTATAATGATATTTTAAAAAGTGGTATTGGTAATAACAAAACAAAATATTTGACTATAAATGTTCACCTGTAGAAAATTGGTTAAATGAAATGAACTTTTGAGTAATGAAAGATCATGTTACCAGAAAAAAGAATGAGATGGCTCTGTATATGTTAGCGTGAAAAAAATTTGCAAAAAATAAACATATAAGGTACAGGTGTTGTATGTAAACATACAATAAATTAAATACAAATAGTTTAAATATTTGTATATGAAAAAATATATGCTCATATATGCATGAACATTTTCTGAATGAAAACATGAAGAATTATTCCAGTGGTTGTTCTTGGGAAGTGCAGCCGGTGGGAAGAAGGACTTTAATTTTTATTTTTCATCCTTTGGATTGTTTGAATATTAAAATCATTTTCATGTACTATTATAATTTTCTTAGAGATATCATTATGTGCTATCTGCATGGTAGAACTATGTTTTTCATTTACTTTTGTTTCTTTATATATTTCAGAATTTTAAAAAATAATAAATTCTTTTTTTCTTTTAAACCCCAGTAGTTTTGAGTCTGGATAATCCTACATCCCCTGTGCCCTTCTGGATAATCCTGGACATGATGTGTTTCTATGTTAAATGAGTAGGGCGGTATGTTCTATAGAACTTTAGAAGACAGATAACAACAAAGGATTTCATTTTTAGTTTGAGAATTGTTAATCTGTAGCTTTTTCTCATGGAGCAATCAAATAATAGGGGTAGCTGATGGAAAAGGCACTCCTAGATAATGATATAAAACCATTTTCTCTGTGATGAAGCAACGTGACTCTTACTTTTCTTTATAGTAAAAGAACATGCAATCATACTACCCAAAAGGGAACTGAGTTCATTTCAGAACATTTAAAAAGATATAAAATTTCATATTTGAATGTTTTCACTGCCAATTTTTAAATCCTTTTATTGAAAATACGGGCTAAAGAAGAAAAGGCTTCACAGATCTCATGTCCAAAGCTAAAGAAAGCATATTCACTTTATATGTGATAATGGCTTCATCTTTACTTGCATAAAGATCTTTCACCTACATTAATTCGTTTAAATTGTCAGAACAATCCTTCGGAATTTGTATTATTATCACATCCCTTTATGAATGACAGCCTGGGGCTTGAAAGAAGTGAGTCACTGGAGGAGAGTTTCTGCACCAATGAGAGTGCCTGGGAAACACAGCCAGTGGTAATATTTACTGAATGAATGACTTCCTAATATCATACTGACAATAAACACGAGGACAGAGAAGGGAAGTCATTCATGTCCTCAAAGCATTGGATGGGCAGCAGTGGCATCATCAGGAGCCCCAGACAGTCCAGATCACTGCTCCCTGCACCTTGTCCTCAGCCCCAAGTGCACATACACCAAGGGCCCCATTGAGCTGGCTATCCAGCAAGCTAGCCACCTGGCCTTTACCCTCTGCAGCAGCCTAGAGCCACACACAGAAGTACATTAGGTTCTGGAAGAAGGAGGCCTTTCCAGCTTCCAGTTTCAGGAGCATCCGTAGTTACACCTTACTCTTTCTGCATGCCTGCCCATTAGCCTTGGCTTGACTGTATTGCTGGAGGTTTGCTTTCCACAGCCTTCTGATGCAGACATCATGAGCTTCTGGCTTCACATTCACAGTAGTGCCTGTTTTCCTCTGTGCATACACTCCCTCTACATATCTGCCTCCAACTTTGGCTCACCTGCACCCCTCTGGGTTGTTTCTATTCACCTAGAGCCTGTGAAGCTGGCAACCTAGGGAAATTCTTCACCATCCATCATTTTCTTCAATGAGGTATTCTTCTTTTGGTATTCTCCATCAGTTTTAAGATGCCCTTTAGAGCTTTCCTTTGAACCCTGTAGTTACTCTTACATGAGAATGTAATACATCTTTATATTAAGATTTCCCTGTTTAAATTACTGTGTGATTTCCGAACCATACTGATAGAGAGGGCTTGAAAGGACAGTAAGAATCTGGGGAAATAAAAGGGAAATTCTACCCCTCTGAACCGTTAATTTGGAACTCAGGTATTTATATCTGATTTGTCAGTTATTGAGCTTTCATAACTCTATATCTTTCAGTCAACTAAGAAGCATATTGGTTATTAAAATTTACTTATTCCTTGCAAGATAATACACATAAAAATGTTTAGAAAAACAATAAGTAAGGCCTGTTTATCTCATTATATACAAATTATGATTATATTCTTTAAGGAATTTTAGGGTTGTTTAGTGTATATACCTAAGTGTGAAGACAAAAATGACTCCATCTTGGATGCTAATTTGTCATGCTGACTTCTGATTATCTCCAGTACCATTAAAGCTGTCTGATTCCTATTTTATTTACTGTCCTTAGTGTAAAAACATGCACTTAGTGTAAAATCTTCCTTTAGAGCAAAACGACCTTGATGTTATTGCACAAATTATAGACTCTGTGCATAGTCTTATGATGCACATAGCATGCTTTCCTGTTCTGGAGAGTTGCCTTTTTCTCTATAGAGCACGTTTCCAATGGCATATAAGTCCTGAATTTGGGAAGTAATGGTACAGAGATCTACCTGTCCTGCTTCCCAAGACCATGGTTCTGTCCAAAAGTCACCCAATAAATCATGCTTTACCAATACATGGAATTTTCCTGCCTCGTTCTTTAGTTTCTTGGCCCTTTATGTGTTTGCAGGTTGCTTTGCATATATGGCCCTTTCATGGAACACTATGACTCAGACATAATAAATGGATAAGATTCTCAATTGTAGAAAGTTCCTTTCCATGTAAAGAATGAGACAAAAACTTGCAAATGGAATCCCAATTGATAATCTCATTTGATTTCTGTATTAACAGAATTTAATGATGTTTCTCTTTAGTCTGCTAAACTGCAAGGTTGCTGAACTGCAGCCAATTTTAAGGGATTTCTAATGGTTTAGGCTGGGTTAATTTTTTGTTTGTTTGTTTGTTTTGAGACAGAGCTTCACTCTGTTTCCCAGGCTGGAGTGCAGAGGCGCAGTCTTGGCTCACTGCAGCCTCTGTCTCCTGGGTTTAAGCGATTCTCCTTAGGCTGGGTTAATTTTGATTAATCTAGTGTAAAGAACAAAGAATAAGAAAGCTAAAGAGCTGATTTCTTGACTTGTTAAATATCTCCACTTAGAATGTTTTATTTACTGTAGTTATACTCCACAACCCCTCTTTATGCCAATGTGTTCTGCTGACCTGTGCTGTCATCCACCAGAAGAAACCTCAAGACAGCTGGGAAGAAATACAGATGAGCAGGGCAATGTGTGTGCTCCATATATGGGAAATTTTATGCAATGAAGATCATGAAAACATAGTCTAATATACAGTTAACATTTATGGAGCAGGTTCTATGTGCCAAGCATGTCTTATTGCTTATGAGAAAATGCCCGTCTGGTTTCATTGACCATTTTGAAACACCGCAACAGATATATTATACCCAGGAGATAACCTGCTGCTCTTTAGCTCTTCGGTCTCTCCACACGGGCTGGCCAGAAAGACACTTGACTCTGAGGTGATCCAATGCCCTAAAGCAGAAGAACCACACAAAGAAACCAACACAGATATTTAATTGAGCATAGTTTCCAAATAGATAACCAACAGATGGGATTACTAATGTGTTAAAAGAACTTCTGATAATCTAGGAAGCTAATAGGTCACTTTTCCAAAGTTTTGGAAGCAATTCAGGAGACATAGTTGAAAAATAATGATTGAACTCTTTAAGTGATTTGTTTGACCAGGTTACGTTTTGGTGCCATCATATTTACAATTCCTTATATTTACATAGCAAATTGGAAACTGGTGCTTTATAGTTTACTTGATGTTATCACATAGGTTTTCTCTCCTATGATGTGAAGTAGATAAGAAACTATTTTATTCCTCAGATAGAAGAGGAAAGTAAGCTAAAGAGAAGTTACATGATTGACATGTAACAAAAAGACACACTGGAAATGGACCCTTGTCTTCACATTTGCACCCCTGATCTCCCTTGACTACACCACACTGTCTCTCAAATGTCACCACCTGGGCCTCAGTATGTTTTGGGTGTTTTTTTGTTTGTTTGTTTTTGTTTTTTTCTTTGGGGTGTGTGATTTGGTCTGTTATTAAAAGCATTAGTAGGTCGGGCGCGGTGGCTCACGCGTGTAATCCCTGCACTTTGGGAGGCCGAGGCGGGTGGATCACGAGGTCAGGAGATGGAGACCATCCTGGCTAACACGGTGAAACCCCGTCTCCACCAAAAAATACAAAAATTAGCCGGGCATGGTGGCACTTGCCTGTAGTCCCAGCTACTCAGGAGGCTAAGGCAGGAGAATCACTTGAACCCGGGAGGTAGAGGTTGCAGTGAGCCAAGATCGCGCCACTGCACTCCAGCCTGGGTGACAGAGCGAAACTGTCTCAAAAAAAAAAAAAAAAAAAAAGCGTTAGTGAACAGTTTACTTCCTTATAGGACTTGAATACAAGAGAATCAGAAACATTGACCTTTTTAGGTATGTGTGAAAACAGGAAATTTTACAAATAAATCCTGAAAGGAATCACATTATTTTCTTGTTTTTCCCACTGAAAAACCTGATACATTGTAAAGAAAAAAAAAACAAAACAAAACAAGAAAATTCCACAAACTTACCAATGCTCCTCTTGGGAGTCGAAATACTATAAGCCTTGATTTCTATTCCCTCTGAGTCATAATTTTAACTTTTTAGGTATTATCTACCTAAGTTTCTAGAGTTGCTTTTTTAAAAATCGGTTTTTATAGATTTACTCCTTAAGTTTTACACTTAATTTATCTGTTTATAGTCATTTCAAACAATTTCAAGTAGCTGTTCTCCATAGGAAACCATATCACAATATCAGAAGCACCTAGGAAACATTTTAAAACACACCTCTGTTTTCTTTTTCTCTTCCCTACTGAGCTATGCCCCCATTTGTGAAGTCATTCCTTATAAAAGTCCTTGGAACAAATTCATGGAAGCTGGTAAGATCATTCTTCCCGAAGCCTTTTTGGCAGCATAATCAACAAGATAGCAAAGAATTTTACTGATGATGAACAAGAGTCCCAAATCACCCAAGCTTAGCAAAACACACAAAATAAACTAGGGCAATAAAATATGAGAAGCAAATTACATTTTTAATATTCTTTCCATGTTAATAATCTCTAGACTGTTACAATAGTTGCAAGGAATTTAAAAATGCATTACCTATGTACAGTCATGCTCCCAATGGTTTATTATAATAAGATTTTAATCTGACAGAGTTTTTCCAATTCATTCCTCCAAGATATTATTACTTTGCAGAATAACTAAAAGGTGAGCAAGTGCTTATCTGACATACTCTAGGGCATTTATCATTAGCTCTGGATACCTATACCTGAAGAATTCAACATAATCAACCATGATACTTAAAAATTAACTGTGTTAAAAAAATAAACATAAGCACTTTAGGGACAGCTTAAGTATTTCCCAGAAGAAAGACCTAGAATTGGGTGTGGGCCAAGGGAAAAGTTAAAAAGGCAGATTCTGGACACACAAGAATAAAGAGAAAGCAGAGAGAACGAGTGTCCAATGTTAGACATCCTTGACTTTGTTCATGGTCTCTCATTTTTCTAAGCCTTGAAATTGTAAATATTTGAAAATCCCTGCCCTCTCTGAGGTCCTCCTTAATCCTCCTATGTGGGACTGACTCTCTTCCTGATGTATTATCATCACTATAGGGACCTGCCCCACTTTTAGCTCTTTACTTAAGTAATAGTCTCCACTTCCTGCCATTGCTGTACTCCAGCTATAGCTAATTAGATAAGGAGAATAAAACAGATCTAAATGATCTCATCCATAGGTTGGCCAAAACTTTTGACCTGAAGTGAAAATATGGGCCAGACCAATCAAATTTGCCTCTTGGGATTCTGGAATTGAAATGCAGTTCCTGGGAAGAGAGCCAAGGCAAAAAATTACAAAAACTCAAAGGCTGAGTCTAGATCAGGAAAAGACTTTGTATACTTACTGATCTTATGCAAGGTAAAAAGGGGTAATTATTATAACAGAAAGTGGATAATCAGAAAAATTATCCAAAACTTGGAAATAGATAAAAGAGACTATTAGATATTTCTTCAGGGCAGTACTGGGCTCAGTTTTCTATTGATAGGGTATTTTATAACTCAGTGGGAACAGAAGATAAGTTATAGATTTTTGTCTGGTAGACAAGCAAACAATTTCTGTCCATTGGAACAGATACAGCAAAAGTTACAATTCATGGTGCAGAAAGACATTAACCACCTTTGCATCTAAGCCAGATATCTAACCTTAATATTCTTTTATTAAATTCCTTACATATATCTTGCTACTTAAATGTTCTTTGGGCCTGCTTCAATATATTTAATATGTTTCCCATTAACTAGTAAGTTAAATAAAAGCTTTGGGAAATATTTGTTTTATATTCATATGAAATCATTTTTTTTAGTATTTTGGGAATTCTTCTTTTTTTTTTTTTTTTTTTGAGACAGGGTCTTGCTCTGTTGCCCAGGCTGAAGTACAGTGGCATGATCTCTTTGGCTCCTGGGTTCAAGTGATTCTTATGCCTCAGCCTCCCAAGTAACTGGGATTACAGGTGCTTGGCATCACACCTGGTTAATTTTTGTATTTTTAGTAGAGCTGGGGTTTTGCCATGTCACCCAGGCTGATCTCAAACTCCTGGGCTCAGGTGGTTTGGCTGCCTCAGCCTCCAAAGTGCTGGGATTACAGGCGTAAGCCATTGTGCCTGGCCTTGGGGATTATTCTTTAACAGTTTTGGCAGTCATCCATTGATGTGCTAAATAAAACTCACCTAACAGAGATAAGTAAATTGTGTTGCCTGTTGTATACCTTATGGGCTACTAATCCCAGGTACATGTTTTCTTGGCTCCCAGTGTGAATTTCAAGTGATAGGAGAACTTCAAACTTTTCTGACTCTCTTTTTCCCTCTAGTTTCATTCCCTGCTTACTTGCCTGATTTTCTCATGGCCAGCATGTTATTCCCTATGAGTGGCAGTTAAAACTGTGAATTTGGCTTTATGATCTGACCATTTGGTGATTGCTGTTGTTAAAACAGAGATCATTAGACTGATGGAATGGACTCTGTGGCAATAAGATACCAAATTATAAACGAGCTAAGCCCATGCCAGGCAAGTGTTAAGTTATGCACCTTTATACATGAAGAATAAACTGTATTCTAAGTATCACAATGTTCTTTTTCTTCAGTGGCTAAATAAGTACTGACTTTGAGATAAGTAATACAGAAGCAATTGTGGCTCACCTACTGCCTCTTTGTTCAACAAGCTGACCTCTTTCTTCAACAGGCTATAACTACAGTTTTGATTGGGCAAGAGACTGATTTCAGTAACTTTGTCCTGATAAGAGAACACCAGCCATGGACTGGTTCTTGTCTGTTTACAGAGGCTGAGCACTGAGTGTCTTTGTGTCCTCTGCTTCACCTCTTAATGCACAGGGCCTAATTGTAATGCATTTAAATATTAGGTTTCCACCCTAAAGTAAACAAGGGACATATGTAACATGTATATTTGCTTACTACACAATTGCGTGTCCCCCTATTTGTGAGTATTCATAGCTTCTCCTATAACCTGTTGAGTATGTATACTTAGCCAATCTGTTCAGCATAAATTCCTGTTTCACCTTCCCTCCTTCAAAATGCCTGCTCTCAGTCTCTGCTGGAGGGTACACTTCCCAGTCTGTCAGGATGGCCACTCTGCAGGCTGCAACCCTTTATAAGAAATAAAGCTCTCCTCTCCAAGTCTATGAAAGTCATGATTCTTCAGCTGACACTGTGGAAGGAAGATGGAAATCCATTCTTTGCTGGGTGAGAGAAAACAGAATCCAGCTTGTTCGTTCATTTTATTTGCGTGTATTCATGAGCGCAAATCAGTTAAAAATTTTATGCCCACTAAGGAAAAAAAAGTGGTTTGAGCTCTAGACTCATGAGTTTTTGTATTATTATGCTGTGGTATTTTGTAAAATATATTTGGTCTTTGACCCCATTTCCTGGCATATAGCTCATAAAAGCTGTAGAAACTCAAAAATGATGTCTTTTTGTATGCTAAGTTTTTGACTGATGACTGGCAGCCTGTAAGTAGCTTCGGTATGGAGACTGGTCACCAAAAAGACCAAGGCAGGATTACAGGGTTGGGACTTTCAGCCCACATCCCAGCCTCCAGGAAGGAGAGAGGGGCTGAACATTTGTTGACACTAACGGCCAGTGGTTTAATCAGTCATGCCTACATAATGAATCCCTCATATACACCCACAAAAAACAGAAATTTGAGAGCTTTCAGGTAGTTGAATACATGGAGGTTGCCAGAGGGTGGCATGCCCGAGGAGAACATGGAAGCTCCACACCCCTTGCCCCTTCCCCCAGGCATCTTTTTATCTGTATCCTTTGTAATATCCTTTATAATAAACTCATAAATATAAGTAAGTTTCCCTAAGTTCTGTGAGCCACCCTAGCAAATTAATTGCACCCAAAGAGGGAATTGTGAGAACCCCAACTTGAAGTGGGCCAGTCAGAAGTTCCAGAGGCTGGAACTTACAACTGGTGTCTGAAGGGGGTTGAAGCCTTGGGAGACTGAGCTCTCAACCTGTAAAATCTGAGGCCATCTCCAGGTAGAAAGCATCAGAATTGAGTTAGAGGACACCCAGCTGGTGTCTGCTGATAGGTATGTGGGGGACGCCCCCCTCCCCACCATTTAGAAGACTGGTTGTTGATTGGTTGTTGTGGTGGTGCAAGAACAGAATAAAAGTAGTTTGTGGTTTTCTGCTCATGTGTTCACTTCATATCTGTGACTGGTTTGTAAAACAGACTAAAAACTGTGTGCCTGTGATCAGAAAAGCCTGTACCTCTCATTGTGTGTGAAATGTTTTTCTAACTCTGGAAAGTGTTAATACATTAGATTATGTTTCTGAAATTACTGAAAATTTTTCTGACTGGTTTAATAGATAAATAAGTGGTTACAAAAATACAATATTTACTAAATTTGCAAAAATAAAGAGACTAAACTTCTAATTATGTTAAATGTGCTAGACTTTTAAGGAAAGAACATCCTTACATAAGCCGCTAGCTCAAAATCATTTTTTTAGTAAAGTCTAAGTTTCTATAATTATGATTGGTATTTGGACAAATCAGACTGAATTAATAATTCTGGCTTAAAAATCAATCATAGCTTTTTGTTTTTTTTTCTTGAGTTATTCATGACGGAATGTGAAATAAGCATACTCAAAAAATAAAAAAAGGGTTCTGTTTGTTTTCTCATGAAAAGACATGTTCAGATGAACTTCCAAGCCTTGTTATATTGGCTTCCTGACAAAAGAGTTAACATTACTCCTACGTACTGATTAAGATTATGAATAATGCAAATTTGTGTTAAACTGAATTTAATAATAATTCCAACAAACACTTTCATAATGGTAGTCATGTTTTAGAGTGTGTTAACTTAAATATGATTTCCAGAATCCTTAGGTAATTCAGCTACTTGTACTAATGTTAAATTGAGTTACTTTTTGAATAATCTTTGAATAGCTGGATACTTTACAATTAAGATAGACTACTGAACCCTTGATCATTAAGCATAATTGTAAGTTTATTAACTTTTGCTTCTGATTTTACTATACTCTATAGAGTGGACGTGTCTTTGCGGTATGTTGATGAACATGTTCGTTTTTGCTTCATTATTAACGTAAGGAAGAAGAAAGGGATAAAAAAGAGGTGTGTGGTTGTGAAGTACTAAATTATTAGTATGCATGAGATTTGCTTGTCTGTTAACGACAGATTAACTACCTTTTGGTTCTTTCTGTAAAACAGAATTGTTACTTTAGTTAAAAGTTATAATTAATTTGGATGGTTGAGGCTATGTTAGGAGAACTATAACTGGGTATATGATTATATTTTTCATAGAAAAAGGAGAGTGCCTTTGTTTTAAAGGGCCGCTCTGTTCTAGAACATGAAAGAGCATAGTGAAAGATCAGAGCAGAGGGAGAAGACAAATGTCGAGAGGATTGAAAGGGGTAAATTCATCTGCTTTGGTTTATAACACTTTTTTTTTTTTTTTGAAGAGATGAGGTCTTGCTATATTGTCCAGGCTGGAATGCAGTGGCCATTCATAGGAGTAATCCCACTTCAAGCATGGGAGTTTTGACCTGCTCTGTTTCTACCCTGGGCCAACTCACCCTTCCTTAGGCAATTCGCTGGTCCTCTGCTCCCGGAAGGTCACCATATTAATGCTGAACTTAGTGTGGACACCAGATTGGAATAGCACACTGCAGCCTAGAACTCCTGGGATCATGCAACCCTCTTGTCTCAGCCTCTCCAGGAGCTGGGACTACAGGCCTGCTCCGTTGAGCCCCACTATAATACTTTTAAGCCTGTAAAGGACCTGTAAAATTTGTTAAATTTGGCAAAGTTCATACAATTTTGATGGACATGCTGATTTAAGGAGAAAAAAGGAACTTACAAAACTTTTACTGCCAAATATATTAATGTAAAACTAGAATATGGCTATCTCTTTGGTAAGATAAAAAAATTGATGTCAGAGCTTTACCCTCCATGTAATCTACCCAATATATTCCATAACTCATCAGAATAAGCTCTGTTTTTGGTTGGCTTTGTAATGTACTCTGTTAAAGGAAGAATATCTCCTCACTTACAAAGAGCTAAATTTCCATAATGTGCTTTTATATCCATTTGAAAATATTTTATTGTCACCTTGACTAAATAGATAACCAAATGTTATTTCTCAGAGATCCATAATCCAATATTAATCAAACTACCATATTTTTAAACACGTTTTGCCTTTATCAATGCTGGATTTCAAATTAAGAAAAAATAAAGTAAAATTTCAGGATTTTTTTCACACTTGAGGTTATTTTTGAAATTTCATACAAAGCCCCTGGAAATTTGCAATAATTTATTTTGTGCCTTATAAAAAAGTATGCTAAAATAATTAGATTTGTTTGGTGTGCTCCATATTTCTTAATTAGATTAACATTATTATAAAAGCTGTATAGGAAGAATAGTCAAATCAGAAAAGATGCCCAGTCTATCCTAGGTTACATTTGTATAGGAAATGTGCTGCTCATAGAGATGTTTCACAAATTGCACACTTTATGGGAAGCCCATGGAGATTTTTCAATGCTTTAGTAATCCATAATAGGGTTTTACCCTCAAGGGAAACAGTTATCAGCTTCTTAGGAAATAGTAATGTGCTCCACACTCATGTTATTGGTCACTGGATTAAAATAACCACAGCTACTCAGTCTCACTCTCAAACAAGTTTCTGTTTCTCTCTAATACTTGCTTGAAGAACAGGCTATAGCTTCTGGCTATAGTTTGTATTTTCAACATAGATGGACTGACTCAGACCCTGGCAGAAAAAACTTTACCAGATACTCTGAATTATTGGGTGCCTCAAAAAATAAACTCTTGGTGTTAGAGTATGCAGATAGCCAAACAACAGCCGAGAGGGGAGCCCCTGAGAAAAGGAAAATACCAGTGCAGAAAGAAACGCCCCTTAAGATGCTCAGTAATCATTCACCTTGCAGTTAACCTGTCAGAATGTAGCTAGATGCATGCTGATAAGGGGAAGAGGGCAAAGAAGAAATTCCTAAGAGATACAAGGCGCAATTTGTATCCAACACCGGGCCCACGCATGTGCACCAACTAATAGGAGAGAAGGATTCCACAAAGCTGGGGTGGGAACTAGGCGGGGGAGAAGGAGGGGCTTAAGGCAGGAATGGGAAAACTCAAGACAGAAAACGGGTAGAGACTTGAAACAGAGGCAGGAAACTCAAGAGAAAATCCTACAGCATCAAAACCCACCAGCGGGACTCTCAGGCTTCTGCAGGCCCACTCCCTTCAGCAGTCCACTCTGCCTAACCTTTTCAGAGTATACTGTCTCTAAATAAACTCTCTGCTTTCTATTTTCCTTCAATACATTCTCTTTTTAGGCTAAATCAGTTGCTTGGCAGAATTCTTTCTCCAAGTAAGACTAAGAACCGAATATTCCTGCACTTCCTGGTAACACTGGTACAGGTCTTCAACTGACCCTGCTTAGACAATTTTCAGATTGTACCTGAGTCAGGATTTTCGGGACTTTTTCCAGACTGGAAGTCAATGTACTTCTAAAATCTGACTTCTGAAGCAAGAACCACATCAATAACGAGAGAAATAGAATTGATTTTTTTTGGGGGGGTGGTTATTTTTGATATTACCTGAAATGTTCTATTTTTCATGGATATGTGAGGAAGTCCATTTTCCTTCATCTTAAGCCATTTCTGTCTAATCCATTTGGTAGATTATGCTTTTAAAAATTGAAATGAAATGTTAAGAAATGGTATTTGAGTTTCACTGACCCCCCTTTTACTGAATCTTTTTACTTTTCATGGCAATGGGGTTTATATATATTCTCTTTTTTTTTTTTTGACAAAGTCTCATTCTGTCACCCAAGCTGGAGTGCAGTAGCACAATATCGGCTCACTGCAACCTCCACCTCCTGGGCTCAAGCGATTCTTTGGCCTCAGCCTCCTGAGTAGCTGGGGATTACAGGCATGAGTCACCACACCTAACTAATTTTTGTATTTTTTAGTAGAGACAGGGTTTTGCCATGTTGGTCAGGCTGGTTCCTGAACTCCTGGCCTCAAGTGACCCACCCACCTTGGCCTCCCAAAGTGCTGGGATTAGAGGCATGAGCCACTGTGCTCAGCCTATAGTTTATATACATACCTTGTATTAGTCAATTTTTTATGCTATAAAGAAATATCTGAGGCTGGGTAATTTATAAAGAAAGCAAGTTTAATTGACTCACAGTTTTGCATGGCTGGGGAGGCCTCAAAAAACTTACAATTATCGTGGAAGGTGAAGGGGAAGCAGGCACCTTCTTACACGATGGCAGGAGAGAGAGAGAGAGGGTGAAATGGGGAAGATCCCCTAATATAACCATCAGATTCTGTGAGAACTCCCTCACTATTACAAGAACAGTGTTGGGGAAACTGCCCCATGATCCAATTGGCTCCCACCAGGTTTCTCCCTCAACACGTGGGGATTACAGTTTGAGATGAGATTTGGGTGGGGACACAGAGCCAAACCATGAAACCTGTTTTCTTTTCTACCAATACATAATTGCCAAATCAATTATGCAAACAAAGCTGTACCTGGAGTGCCACACTTGACAATAAATCTCATTTAATCAGGTATGACAAGCCCACTGATAAACAGCAAGGATTGATTTTATAAGAGGAGCCTATGAGTACATAGCCCTCTTAAGAAAACTGGCATGGTGCCTGGAATAGAAGATTCTTATCTCAGGTGATAAGGCACTCCTTAGCAGGCCACTCCTGAGCAAATCTTGGGAGACTCAAAAAGAGAAACATTCATTCAAATTTATAGGTACTGTAGGTAGAATCTGGTGAAGAATGTATTCTGGCTTGCTAGGCTCAGGATAGAAGGGCAAATAATAGAGACTTAACAATTAAATCCAAGATTCTTTATGAAAATCTCCAGACAAAAATCAGTTATCTTGCATTTGTAGTTGCTTGATGTTGAGTGGCTCTAGATTTGCAGAGTAAACTCAAAGAGGTCTGTGTAACTATTAAAATTTTTGTTGGTCTAAACCTTAGTAAGGCCAGCCATTTTGTGATTATTAATATTTGGAGATAATACCAAAGAGCGAGATTAACAGAAAATTATTCAAAGTTTGGAAATAGACAAAAGAGATCACCGGGTGTACTTTCAGTGTAATGTTGGGCTTGACTTTCTCTTGACTAGTGTATTTTACAACTTTTTGGTGCCAGAGACTAATTTATAGATTTCTGTCCAGTTTCCTTATGAATTTAATATTTAAATTAAATTACATATTTGATACATGCTCACTTTATATTTGTATGAGAATACAAATTTTTCCAACCTTTTTAAAATTATACTTTAATGCTGGTAATAATAATAGAGGTTATAAGATAGACATTTGGTATTATAATATGTCATATTGCTAAATATGTTTTGATGCCAAATCTTTGAAATCTAGTGCTAAATCCTGATAAGAATTGAGGCTTTTAACTTGCCCTGATGAAATCTCTCTTTCCCCATCTCCATGGTAGCCTTCCCTTGAGAATCAAGAACTCTGTGACTACAGTTATTGTAAAACCAGGGGCCTGATAGTAGCTACTGAAGGGTCTAGATTGGATTTTGAGCTCCCCCAAGTCTCATATCCAGAGAATTGTACTATTTTCCCCATCTGGAAGTTCACTGAAAAGCTCCATTCTTAGAATCTGTCTCATTTAGCCTTAATTATCTCCCAATATTTCCATCTACAGATAACAGTAACATCAGAGGTTAGGGTTCAATATGTGAATTCTGAGGGACAAAATTCAGTTCACTGTAGATTTGAACAGTATCAAAAGAGAGCTGGTTTTCCTATGCTACTACCAGGGAAAGTAGGCTTTAAGACAAAAGTTGTTACCAAAAAACCCTAAGGGGTTTATGATGACAAAAGGGTCAATCCATCAGGGAGATATACAACTATAAACATATGTGCACCTAATAACAGAGTCCCCAAATATGTGAAGCAGGAACTGACAGAATTGAAGGGAGAAATAGATAATTCGACAATAATGGAGACCTCAATACCGCTCTTTCAATGGTGGATAGTACAATTAGGCAGATTAATAAAGAAATAGCAGACTTAGCAACAAACTTGAACTGTATTAGTCAGTTCTCATGCTGCTACAAAGAACTGTCCAAGACTGGTAAAGGAAATAAGTTTAATTGACTCACAGTTCCCCAGGGTTGTGGAGGCCTCAGGAAACTTACAATCATGGCAAAAGGGGAAGCAAACACATCATTCTTCACATGGCAGCAGGAAGGAGAAGTGCCGAGCAAAGGGGGAAAGCCCCTTATAAAACCGTCAGATCTCATGAGAACTCACTCACCATCACGAGAACAGCATGGGGGTAACCACCCCCATTATTCAATTGCCTCCCACCAGGTCCCTCCCATGACACATGGGGATTACGGGAACTACAATTCAAGATGAGATTTGGGTAGGGGCACAGCCAAACCATATTAGGAGCTAACATCTATAGGACACTCCACCAACAGTAGAATATACATTTTTCACAACTGCACATTAAACACTATCCAGCATAGACAATTTATTAATAGGCCGTAAAATAAATCTCAATAAATTTAAAAAGATTGAAATCATACAAAATATGTTCACTGACCATAATTATGTTTACTGCCCATAATGGAATGAAATTAGAAATCAAGAACAAAAGTAAACTTAGGATATTTACAAATAAGTTGAAATTAATACGCTTCTAAATAACTAACAGAAGAACTCACAAAGAGAATTCACAAAGGTAAATTAGAAAATAAGCTGAGATAAATGAAAATAAAAACACAACATACCAAAACTTAGGAGATACATACAGGTAAAGCAATATTTCAAGGGAAATTTATGATTATGAACATCTATATTAAATAGGAGAAAGATCTCCAGTACATAGATTTTAACTTGTTACCTTAAGAAACTAGAAAAAGAAGAGCAAAATAAATCCAAATAAAGCAGATGAAAGGAAATAATAAAGACTAGTGGAAATAATGGAATAAATAATAGAAAAAATAGAGAAAATTAGAAAAATAGAAGTCAATTCTTTGAAAATAATCAACAAAAGTGAAAAACCTGGGCTGACCTAGAAAACGAGAGAAAAATCAAATTACTAAAATCAGTAATGCAAAAATGATATGACTACCTATAGAAATAAAATGATATGACTACTTATAGAAATAAAAAAGGATTATAAAGAAATACGAAAATTATCATCAAAATTCTTTGTCAACAAATCAGATAACCTAGATGAAATGAACAAATTTCTAGAAAGAATTCTCAGAAAGACAAAATCTTTGAGTTCCTAAAACTGACAATAGAAATGAAATAAAAAATCTAGGCCAGGTGCTGTGGCTCACACCTATAGTCCCAGCACTTGGGGAGGCCGAGGTGGGAGGATCAATTGAGCCAGGAAATTTGAGACTAGCCACAGCAATATAGTGAGACCTGTTTCTACCAAAAGTAATTTTAAAATGAGATTGGTGTGGTGGTGTGAACCAGTAGCCCCAGCTACTCTGTAGGCTGAGGCAGGAGGATCACTTGAAGTTGGGAGATCAAGGCTGCAAAGAGCTGTGATCACACCACTGCACTCCAGCCTAGGTGACAGAGCGAGACCCTGTACCAAAACTGAAACCAAAAAACCAAAAAAACAAACAACTAAATATACTAATAATAAGCGAATATATTTTATTAGCAGTCAAAAACTTCCCACAAAGAAAAGCACAGTTCCAAATGGCTTCACAGACAAATTCACTACTATTTTAAGCAGAATTAACAACAGTCTTTCATACTACTAAAAAAAAAAAAAAAATAGAAGAGGAGGGAATGCTTCCAAAATTATTCTATGAGGGCATTATTATCCTGATATGAAAATCAGACAAAGGCATCACAAGAAAAGAAAACTACAGATCAACATCCCTTATGAAATAGATGCAAAATTCTTCAACAAAATACTAGCAGACTGAATACATCAATATATAAAAAAATATTATGCACAATTACCAGTAGGATTCATCCCAGGAATGCAAGGTTGATTTAACCTATGACAATCAATCATGTAATACAGTGTATTAATAGAATAAAGGACAAAAAATCACATGATCATCTCAATAGGCACAGAAAAAGAATTTGACAAAAGACAACATCCTTTCAAGTTAAAAAACACTAAATAAACTTGGATTAGAAAGGAATTTCCTCAACTTCATTAAGGTCATCTATGAAATACCCAAAGCTAACATCATACTTAATGGTGAAAGCCTGGACCCTTTCCATTTGCTATTTGAAAGAAATAAAATGCATCCAGATTGGAAAGAAAGAAGTAGAGCTATCTCTTCTTTTTCTTGAAGAACAGTGCAGTTCAGAATGAGCCAAAGCTCACCACTCCCAGACAGTACTGCACATTTCTTAGCATCACTCCAATAACCATAATGATGACTACTAATATTCTAAGAGCAACTCAGTGTGTCCTGTGTGTCATACTAAGAATAATCTTTTTTAAAAACTTTTATTTTAAGTTCAGGGATACATGTGAAGGTTTGTTACATAGGTAAGCTTGTGTCATGGGGGTTTGTTGTACATATTATTTCATCACCCAGGTATTAGGCCTACCACCCATTAATTATTTTTCCTGATCCTCTTTCCCCTCCCACCTTCCACCCTCCCATAGGCCCCAGTATGTGTTATTCCCCTCTATGTGTCCATGTGTTCTCATCATTTAGCTCTCACTTATAAGTGAGAATATGTGGTATTTGGTTTTCTGTTTCTCTGTTAGTTTGATAAGAACAGCTGTCATTATTTCTATTTACAGATGACATTATATTGTTTATAGAAAACCCTAACTAACCCACTAGAGAATTATTAGATGCAATAAATGGGTTCAGCAAGGTTGCAGCACAGAAGATCAATGTACGTAAATCAATTGTATTTTTATACTCTTGCAATAAAAAATCCAAAGATAAAATTCAGTAAACAATTCAATTTAAGATAGCATAAAGAGAAACTGTGTTCTTAAAAAGAGAATAAAATTCCTAGAAATAAGTTTAACAAAAGAAGTACAGGAGTCATACACTGAAGACTACAAAACATTGTTGAAACAAATTAAAGTAGACCTAAATAGATGGACATACACCACATATTTATGCTTTGGAAAACTCAGTATTGTTAAGATAGCAATATTCCCCAAAGTGATAAACAGATTTAATGCAATGTCTATTAAAATTCTACCTGTTTTTTTGGCAGAAATTGACAAGCTGATCCTAAAATTCATGGAAATGCAAGGAACACAGAATAGACAAAATAATCTGAAATAAAACAAAGTTGGAGGACTCACACTTTCCAATTTCAAACCTTACTACAAAGCTACAGTAATCAAGATAGTGTGGCACTGGTGAAAGGATAGAAATATCTATCAATGGAATAGGTTTGGGGTTCCAGAACTAACTCCTTTCATTTATGAACAATTTATTTTTTGATAAGGAGGACAAGACAAATGAAGAAAGAATAGTCCCTTCAACAAATGACAGTGGGATAACTATATATCCACTGGGACAGAATAAAGTTGAACCCCTACCTCACACCATATACAAAAATGAACTCAAAATGGATTAGAAATCTAAACATAAGTAAACCTTAACATATAGCTAAAACTATAAAATTGTTAGAAGAAAACCGGAGTAAACTTTTGTGCCTTTGGATTAGCAATAATTTCTCACATGACACCAAAAGTATAAATAACAAATGAAAAAATAGATAAATTGGACTTCATAAAAATGAAAAGCTTTTGTGATTCAAAGGACTTAAGGAAAGTGAAAAGACAACTCATAGAATGGGAGAAAATATCTTCAAGTCATAAATTGGCTAAGGAAACTATACATTGAATATATTAAAATCTCTTAAAACTCAACAGTTCAAAAAAACTCAATTAAAAATGGACAAAGGATTTGAATAGACATTTTCCAAAGGAGATAAACAGATGGCCAATAAGCACAAGAAAAGATGCTCAACATAATTAGTCTTTCAGGAAATACTAATTAAAACCACAAAGAGATACCACTTTACATATTATAGGAGACTACAATAAAAATGACAGTTAAAAAGTATTTGGGAGGGTATGAAGAAACTAGAATCCTCATACATTCCTGTATGAATTGTCATGCACTATTAATAAAAATGTAGAACTGTGCATTTGCTTTAGAAAATAGTTTAGCAGTTCCTCAAATGGTTAAACATAGTGTTGTCGTACAACCCAGCAATTCCACTCCCAGATTTACACCCAAGAAAATTAAAAACATATGTCTACACAAATTCCTGTATGTGAATGTTCTGAGGAGCATTATTTTTAATAACCAAAAAGTGAAAAAGTGAAAGCAACTCAAATGCCCATCAACCAATGAATGGATGAATAAAATGTTGTATATTCATATGACGGAATATTATTCAGTTGTAAGAAAAGGAAGTTCTGATATATGCTACAGTATGAATGAACCTTAGAAACGTTATGCTAAGTCAAAGAAGCCAGACACAAAAGGCCACACATTGTGTGATTTTGTTTATATGATATCTCCAGAATTGGCAAATCCCCGGGGACAGAAAATAGTACAGTAATTGCTGGGGTGAAGATAGGAAATAATGGGTAATTTCTGCTAATTAATATGGGATATCTTTTGGGAGTGATAAAAATATTCTGGAATTAGATAGTGATGATTGGTATACTACTTTTAGAATATACTAAAAACCACTGAATTGTATGTTAAAAGGATGTACTTTATGGTGTTTAAATATATCTTAATAAAACTGTTATTTTACAAAACACCTAAAAACATCTGCAATACAATTAGTTGAAATGAGTTTATGGAAACTTTTGTTGTTGCTGTTGGATTGTATCCTGTTGTTCAGCTGATTTATATTATATGTAATCTTCATTTCAGATGGATCTTGCAAGTTATTCTTCCTTTCCAGGATTCAGCTTCCCTTTCTAAAAAAGTTTCATCTCTAATAATTTGTTTTATAAATTTCATGGTTTGTTGTCCTTTATATCCTTTCTGTCATTCATCACTTCTTTGTCTGCTTGGATTCCATGGTCAATTATTAGAATCACTCCTTGACTTATACTCTCAGCGTCTTCCATTGACCTGGTAAATCCAAACCCTAATATAATGCAACATTAATTCCTCTGTGCCTGCAGCTGGGTAGGTGAATGTGGTTGGAGAAAACTGAAACATAATGTTGACTGTTCTATTCTTGACTATTAACTTCAAGATGGTCCTGTTGCTGTCTGACAAACCTATTGTATATTGATCCTTAGCTAATTCAATCTCCGGTCTTTCTAAAAGGAAGGAAAATAAAGAGAAAAAGGCCACTTTCTTTCTCTTTCTTCAAACTTCCTATACTTCATCTCCTCTCTTCTCCCTGTGCTGATGATTATGATCCTCTACTTTCAGTAAGAAAACAGGCACCTTTGTAACATTTCAATGTAATAGCACCATCACATCTTCCCAGCTACCTGCAATTTTATCCATAGACCACAACTTTATTCCTAGTTCAATGGATGAACTGTTCTTGTTCCCAGACTAAGCCTCCCTCTGCTGGTACACAGGTTCCCACCCATCTTTTCTCTTTTCTCCTCCATGATATTGCTCCTGTAAATGACTTCATCATGTTTTTCAAGCTACTGGATTACTACCACACAGCATACAAACATGCTGTCATATCTCCCATCTTAAAATATTGCCACATCCAGCTGCGGTCTCATTCTTTTGTTCCTGTTTAAGAAATGTTTCCAGAAAACCTGTCTAAAGCTATTGTATCCACTTATCTGACCCCTCCATTCTTTCTTCAATCTACTTTATTCAAGCTTTTTTTCCTTACTCCTTTGACTCTTACAAAGTCATGAGTTGATCTCCACATTTACAAAAACTATGTTCAGTTCTCAGTCTTCATATTATTTAAATGAAATCACAATTTTTCATCATTGGTAAGTTTCTTACTTCTTTAAACATTCTATTCACTTACTTTAGGAGTATCACTTTCTCTCTTAGTTCTCCCCCTGATTTTCAGTCTCCATTGCTGGGTTTTCCTTATCTCCATAACCTCTTAAGTATTGATGTGTTCTAGGGTACACCTCTGCTATTCTCAATTGAAACTCATTACATAGGTAAACTTATCTGTACTTATGACTTTATGTACCAGCTACATATTGATGAATTCCAAACTTTTAGGGCAGCATTCAGTGTGAAGGAGATGTGTGCTAACAAATGTGGAGTGTCAGGGGCTGAAACTTTCTAGCTAGTGGAAGCTATTCCACTGAATCTTGTACTAGGTCACCAAGTAGTTCTAGAAAATGAGGGCCCAGTGACCAGCAACATGGGCTAGATTTTGCCGTATCTTAATTCATAGCTGAGCTTGCATTTCTGCACCTTAACTCTGGATTTTAATGCTGAACCTTAACTCTTGGACCTCTGCACTTTACTTAAACTGGTATACCCAAATCATAGCTGTGCTTCCTTTAGAAAAATCAGTAGATCCCAGATGCTTGGCCAAAAGTCCCTTGGCAAATTCTGTTTTGAACTAGGCAGATGCTAACTCTGACCATTTATAGTTTTTGGCAGGCTTGGTACTCAACCTATTCAACACTATTCTAGACACTTAGCATCATTCACAGCACATGGGTGTATTTAATATGTGTTATATGTTTGATAAATGTTGGTTGAATGAGGGAATACAGAACAAAGTCTTATACTGGCCATGAGGGTTTTTTGTTTTTATTTTTTATCTTTCTAAGGCTTACTTTTGAATGTTATCAGAAATGAAGATGTTTTCTGCCCTTCCCTACCTACAGAGTTGATGTGATATGTAAATGAGCCCTTTGGAGGTAAATATGCTACACTCAAATTCACATTTTCACATCACTTTGTCATTTGTAGAATTTACTACCCAAAATCATTTGGTAAACATGCATTGCTATAACTTATTAGAAAATTGTAAGACAATGCAAGTTTTCAGATAATAGCAGGCCATTGGTTAATAAATCAAGTTCAGAATTCTCCAAATTCTTAGATATAAACTTATTGATATGTAGCATAAAGGGGTTTTGGTTGGTTTCATTGTGGCCAAGCAAATTGATTCTATTCACTAGTCAGGAAGGAAGGAAGTGACTCAAATCCATCTAACGAGTTTTATATGTATTTACTCAATCTTCCAACGGCTCTCTGGATTACATATTGTTGTGCATATTATGAATGACCACATATTACATATATTCAAGGCTATACAAAATCCTGGCAACTTCTACTGCCAGGAAACTGTATATCTTGGGAAACTGTATACCCCAGTATAATAAATACTGTCAACTTTAGTAACATTACTGTTGTAGGTCTTCTTGTAGATGAAATTAGAGGATTTTTCAAACATTGTGTGTGGTAATCCATATGAGCGCTTTAGAAAACCAGGAGGTACTGGGGCCGGGCGTGGTGGCTCACGCCTGTAATCCCAGCACTCTGGGAGGCCGAGGCAGGCAGATCATGAGGTCAGAAGATAGAGACCATCCTGGCTAACGTGGTGAAACCCCGTCTGTACTAAAAATACAAAAAAAAAAAAAAAAAAACTAGCCAGGCGTGGTGGCGGGCACCTGTAGTCCTAGCTACTCAGGAGGCTGAGGCATGAGAATGGCGTGAACCCGGGAGGCAGAGGTTGCAGTGAGCTGAGATCGCACCACTGCACTCCAGCCTGGGCGACAGAGCGAGACTCTGTCTCAAAGAAAAAAAAAAAGAAAACCAGGAGGGACTGAAGTTATTTTTGAGGAAGATCGTAGGGGGAAACATGAAGATTTGAATTGCTTTGAAGCTGTTCTTTCACCTTAAAATTAATCATTGTTTACTTATGCTTGCTCTCCCAAAGAATGAGTTATAGAGGTGAAACCAGAGCAAGTCTAAGTTTCCCAGACTATTCATAACCCTGTTGTTCCCGGATTGACAATGATCCTTATTTTGAATTTTTGCTGGTGGCTGTCTATGAGATGAGCTGTACATTCTTCTGAGGTTGACATTATTAGAGGATTGCTCTGTTCCTACTTAAGGGCTGAGGTTTGAGAACAGCAGAGTTGAATTTGTAGATATTACAAGTTCATCAAATGGCTAGGCTCAACTTTATGTTTGAAGTCAGCCAATCTTGGCCTAAAGTCTAATATAAAAGAGCTTTCAAACGGGGATATGGATAAATATATCATTTCGTTAGAAATTGTCATTCCTTTTGACACTTGAATATATGATTAATCAATAAATAAGAAAGATTACATTCCTGAAATAACCACATGAATCATGGTTGATAACATGATTATACTCTGCATGTGAAAATTAGTTTGACCTTTTCACAGAAAGAAATCACTGAAAGTAATGTTATTGTTCTGTGGCACATCAAATTTTTTCCCCAACATTAAAGACAGCCTGGCAGATAGAAACACATAATTCACATTACATTTAATGACTTTTAAATTTATCTTTTAAAATATTTAAATAGATAAAAATTATAAAAACTCACTGAAAAGCTTATTACCCATGTCCCAGATCCTACTCCATCTCCAGAATTAAGCATTTTTATTTGTTTGTTGGATATACTTTCAGAGACTTAAATAATTTGTATTTAACTAAGACAAATACATGTTCTTACATTTATCTATTTGTTATCCAAAGGTAATCTACTTTTTAAACTTAATAACATATCTTAGGAAAATTTCTGTGTTGGTACACAGAAGGATTACTCTTAGTTTTTTCATTTTTTTTTTTTTTTTTTTAGCTGCATAGTAGTATTCCATTGTATGGCTATATCTTTGTTATAAAATACTTGAGCTATTTTCAATCTTCTGTCATTCCTAAAGATGTTGCAACAAATGCATTTGTATATGTATTATTTCATATGTTAGTCAACTTTAGTAACTGTTAGTATATTTGCTTTAATATATTCAGTATATATAATAATTGAAATACAATAAAAATGAGATTTTTGGGTCAGAATGTACATACATTTTTCAATAGGAATCTACATGATTAAATTGCCTGCCAAAGAAGCTGATTCAGTTTGTACTCCCCCAAGCAAAAGGTGAGAGGTGCTTCCAAATTTTCAAATAATTTATCCCAATTCATCTTTTCCTTTTGACTTTACTTATTGTTGTTTGTTTAACCTCTCTTTTATTTATTTTTCTTTTTGGTATACAGAAGTTTTCTTTTTCTTACACAGTCAAATTTTTCAATCTCCTTTTAATGGCTTTTGAATTTAAGATTTGTGTCCCTGTTTTATTCTAGAATTTTTCTTGTTTATTCTTCTGCATGAAATTTAGAAATAGCTTTTTTGATTCTAAAAAATTATATTTTGGAGTAATTACTTTAAATTTATTAATTAATTTAGAACTATTGTCTTTATTATGTTGAATCTACCTGTTGAAATACATGGAATGTTTTTGTTTGTTTATGTTTTCTTTTGTGTCCTTCAGTAGTCAACCAAAGTTTTCTGCATATAGACAGTCATGCATCACTTAATATTATGTTTGGGGAAATGTATGGTTAGGTGATTTTGTCATGCAAACATAACAGAATATGCTTATGCAAACCTAGATGGTATATCCTACTACACAGATAGGCTATACGGTATAGCTTTTTGCTCTCAGGCTACAACAGCATGTTACTGTACTGAATACTGTAGACAATTGTAACACAAAGGAAATTATTTGTGTATCTAAACATAGAAAAGGTACAGTAAAAATATGGTATAAAAGATTAAAAATGATATAACTCTAAAGGGCAGCTTCATTATAATCTTATGGGACCACTGTTGTATATGCATTTATCACTGATCAAAGCATTGTTATGCAGATCACGACCCTATGGATCTTAAACATTCTCTGTTTAGTTTATTTTTGGATATTTCAGCTTTTTTGTTGCTAATGTGAGACATTTTATTCATTATGTCTAACTGGTTGTTGTTTGTATATGTAAAAGCTGTTTTTCTATATATTGATACAACACATTGTTTGTAATAGTTTTTAATTGATTTGCTTGGAGTTTCCAGATATTCTCATATTTTTCACAAATAGTGAAGGTTTTAGTTCTGTATTAGTCAGGGTTTTCCAGAGAAACAGAATCAACAGGATATATATATATCCTGTTGGATATAAATATATATATATATATATATATATTTATTATGAGGAATTGGCTCACATGATTATGGAGACTGAGAAGTTTGACAGTCTGCCACCTGCAACCTGGAAGCACAGAAAGCTGGTATTATATTTCTAGGCTGATTGAGTACAAAGGCTTGGGAATGAGGGGAACTGATGGTATGAGTTTTAGTCCAAGTATGTAGACTTGAGAATCTGGGGGTCTATGGTGTAAGTCCCAGTCTGAGGGCAGGAGAAGAATCAATTTTCCAGATTAAGGAGTCAATATGAGATAGAGAATTCTTTCTTCTTTGGCCTTTATGTTCTAATCAGGTCCTCAATGGACTGAATGATGCCCACCCACATTGAGGGGGGCAATCTGCTTTCTAAGTCTACCAGTTCAAATGCTAATCTCTTCCAGAAACACACTAACAGATATACCCACAAATAATGTTTTACATTTTATTGATACATAATATTTTATACATTTTTGGAGTATTTTTTTTTATGCATAGATTATGTAGTGATCAAATCAAGGTATTAGGGGCATATATCACCTTAAGTATTTATCATTTCTATGTCTTGGCAACATTTTAAGTCCTCTTTTCTAGCCACCTTAAAAAATACAATATATAGAATGACAATATAGTCACCCTAGTCCACTATTGAACATTAGAACTTATTTTTTCTATTTAACATGAGTTTGTACCCATTCACCAGACTCACACCCTTCTTGGCTTCTGGTACCTGTCATTATATTCTCTATCTCCATGTAATCAAGTGTTTTTAGCTCCCACATGTGAATGAGAACATGTGGAATTTGTCTTTCTGTCCTTGAGTTATTTCACTTAACATAATGTCCTCCAGTTCCATTTATGTTGCAGCAAATGACATAATTTCATTCTTTTTTATGGAGGACTAAAATTATATTTCAGAAATAATGTTTAACTAGATATCTGGGCATCTTGTGACTCCGTTGAGATGACACAAAAATTAACCATGATTAACCTTCTGAATTCAAATGGTTAGACCTTTAATTTATTTTTCTTTCATTTTTTTTTCTTGAGACGGAGTTTTGCTCGTGTTACCCGGGCTGGAATGCAATGGCATGATTTCGGCTCACTGCAAAGTCCACCTCCCAGCTTCAAGCGATTCTCCTGTCTCAGCCTCCCAAGTAGCTGGGATTACAGGCTTGCGCCATCACACCCAGCTAATTTTGTATTTTTAGTAGAGACAGTGTTTCTCCATGTTGCTTAGGCTGGTCTCGAACTCCCGACTTCAGATGATCGGCCTGCCTTGGCCTCCCAAAATGCTGGGATTACAGGTGTGAGCCACCATGCCTGGCCATTTCTTTTTCTTCTCTGCATTAACTTATAAGCCAAGCGTAATGTTAAAGATAGTTATAAAAATTGCATCATGGTACTTTCCCTTACTTTAGTGGAAATGCCTTTACTGTTTTATCTTTAATATGGCTTTTGAGTTGAGGTAGATAAGTTTACCTATCTCAGATCTAGAAAAGATCCAAATAAGCTCAATTAGAATCCTTGTTGATCAAGGATTTATATGCACCTAGATAACTGGGAGGTTTTTTTTCTTAAATAAAAAGTGGTTATTAACTGAGTCTTCTGGTTCCCAACTAGTGACATAGAAGCAAGCTGGCTCTGCTTTCCCCCACAGAAAAGCAAAAACAAATATAAAGGCATCAAGATCATCACTAGCAATATTCCAGAACTCAAATATGAGGAAACAGTTCCTAGGGCCACAGAGAAGAGGAAAAATTCCAAGCAGATGGTATGAAACCCCAAAGACAAATCTATAACAATAATAGCTATAGAAACCTGTTAAGAGTTATGCAATATAAAAATTTTTAAACTGCAACAACATAAAGTAAAAATGTGGGAGGGAGTTAAAATGTAGAGTTTTTAAATTTTTTTCTGTGATTGTTTGTTTCTATTCTTTTTTTGTGATCTAACATAAGTTGTCATCTCCTTAAAATAGCTTCTTATAGCTGTAAGATGTTTTTGTAAGCTTCATGGTAACCACAAAGCTAAAACCTATAATAGATTCACTAAAAATATAAAGCAATGAATTAAAACATACTACCAGAGAAAATCACTAACCACAAAGGGAGACATTAAGAAAGGAAGATAGAAATAAGTTACAAAACAACCAAAAGATAAGCAAGAAAGTAGCAACAGTAAGTCCCCATTTATCAATAAACATGAAAGTAAATGGATTCAATTGTCCAATTAAAAGGCACATAATAGATGAATGAATAAAGAATCAAGAACTATGGCAATCATTAAAAAGTCAGGAAACAACAGGTGCTGGAGAGGATGTGGAGAAATAGGAACACTTTTACACTGTTGGTGGGACTGTAAACTAGTTCAACCATTGTGGAAGTCAGTGTGGCGATTCCTCAGGGATCTAGAACTAGAAATACCATTTGACCCAGCCATCCCATTACTGGGTATATACCCAAATGACTATAAATCATGCTGCTATAAAGACACATGCACACGTATGTTTATTGCGGCATTATTCACAATAGCAAAGACTTGGAACCAACCCAAATGTCCAACAATGATAGACTGGATTAAGAAAATGTGGCACATATACACCATGGAATACTATGCAGCCATAAAAAATGATGAGTTCATGTCCTTTGTAGGGACATGGATGAAATTGGAAACCATCATTCTCAGTAAACTATCGCAAGAACAAAAAACCAAACACCGCATATTCTCACTCATAGGTGGGAATTGAACAATGAGATCACATGGACACAGGAAGGGGAATATCACACTCTGGGGACTGTGGTGGGGTCGGGGGAGGGGGGAGGGATAGCACTGGGAGATATACCTAATGCTAGATGACACGTTAGTGGGTGCAGCGCACCAGCATGGCACATGTATACATATGTAACTAACCTGCACAATGTGCACATGTACCCTAAAAACTTAAAGTATAATAATAATAATAATTAAAAAAGAAAAAAAAAAAGAATGGAGAAGTCAAGAAAAAAAAAAAAAAGAAAAGAAATACAGCAATGAACATGGCATTTGTGAGAAAAAAAAAAAAAAAAAAGAATCAAGAACTAACTATATGCTGTTTACAAGAAACTTACTTTACCTGTAGAGACACACATAAACTAAAAGTGAATAGGCAGAAAAAGATATTCCAAACAATTAGAAACCAAAAAAGAGCAGGAGTCACTAAAGTCATATCAGATAAAATTGACTACAAATCAAAGACTGTAAATAGAGACAAAGAAGGGAACTATATAATGATAAAGGGCTCAATTCAGAAAGAGGCTATAACAATCATAAATATTTATGCACCCAAAACCAGAGCTCTCAATTATGTAAAGAAAACTTTAATAGATCTAAAGGGAGAGATAGGCTGTAGTACAATAATAGTAGGGGACTTCAGCACCCCACTTTGAGTAATAGACTGATCATCCAGACAGACAATCAACAAAGAAATATAGGAGTTAAACCACACACTAGAACAAATATGCCTAACTAACACTAATAGAACATTTCATCCAACTGCTGCAGAATACACATTCTATTCATCAGCACATGGAACATTCTCCAGAATAAACCATATTTTAAACCACAAAACAAGTCTCAACAAATTCAAAAAAGTAGAAATACTATCAAGTATCTTTTCTGACCACAATGAAAACAAACTAGAAATCAATAACTAAAGGAACCTGGGAAATACACAAACAAAGAGAAATTAAACAACATGCTCCTAAATGACCAATGAGTGGAAAAAGAAATTAAGAAGGAAAATTTAAAATCTCTTGAAACAAATAAAAATGGAAATATAACGAACAAAAATCTACGGAATACAGAAAAATCAGTACTAAGAAAGAAGTTTATAGCAATAAACACCTACTTCAAAGAAGTAGAAAGACTTCAAATAAGCAACCTAACAATGCACCCTTCCCAGGCCCTTAAAAAGCAAGAACAAACCAAACCTACAATTAGTAGAAGGAAAGAAATAAAGATCAGAGCAGAAAGAAATGAACTTGAGACTAAACAATCAATACAGAAGATCAATAAAATGACAAGATGGGTTGAAAAGAAAAAATCAACAAATCTTTAGCTACACTAATTAAGAAAAAAGAGAAGACTCAAATAAATAAAATCAGAAATGAGACAGGAGATGTAACAACCAAGACCACAGAAACATAGATAATCTCATATGAAAAGTTATTATAAACAACTACATGCCAACAAATTGGAAAACCTAGAGGAAACAGATAAGTTTTGAAAATGAAGAAATAGAAAACCTCAACAAACCGATAATGAGTAATGAGATTGAGTCAGTAATAAAACATCTCTCATCAAAGAGCACCCAGGACCTGATAGCTTCACTGCTGAATTGTAAAAAAGCACAAAGAAAATGTAATACCAATTCTACTCAAACACTTCAAAAAAATTGAAGAAGAGGGAATACTTCCAAACTTATATGAGGCCAGCATTATCCTGATACTAAAACCAAATAAGTATACCACAAAGAAAAATACATGCCAATATCACTTATTAACATAGATGCAAATATCCTCAACAAAATACTAGCAAACTGAATTCAACAACACATGAAAAAGATCATTCAACGTGGTTAAGTGGGATTCATCTCAGGGATGCTAGGATGATGGTTCAACACACACAAATCAAGAAATGCCTACATTAAAAAGTCTGAAAGGGCACAAATAGACAATCTAAGGTCACACTTCAAGGAACTAGAGAAAGAAGAACAAACCAAACCGAAACCCAGCAGAAGAAAAGAAATAATAATTAAGATCAGAGCAGAACTAAATTAAATTGAAACAAAATAAAATAAAAAAATCAATACAAAAGACAAATGAAACAAAAAGCTGATTGAAAAGATAAACAAAATTGATAGACCACTAGTGAGATTAACCAAGAAAAGAAACGATCCAAATAAGCTCAATTAGAAACAAAATTGGTTATATTAGAGCCAATACCATAGAAATACAAAAGATCACTCAAGGATACTATGAACACCTTTATGCATACAAACTAGAAAACCTAGAGGAGATGGATACATTCCTGGAAATACTCAACCCTCCTAGATTAAGCCAGGAAGAAACAAAAACTCTGAACAGACCAATAACAAGCAGCAAGGTTGAAATGGTAATTTAAAAAAAAATTGCCAACAAAAAAAAGTCTGGGACCAGATAGATTCACATCTGAACTCTATCAGAAAGTCAAAGAAGAATTGATACCAATCTTATTGACACTTCCAAAAGACAGAGAAAGAGTGAATCCTCCCTAAACCATTCTATGAAGCCAGTATTGCCCTAATATCGAAATTAGGAAAGGACATAACAAAAAAAGAAAACTCCAGACCAATATCCCTAATGAACATAGATGCAAAAATACTCAACAAAATACTAGCTAACCGAATCCAACAGCATATAACAAAGATAATCCACCATGATCAAGTGCTTTCATACCAGGGATGCAGAGATGGTTTAACACCTGCAAGTCAATAAATGTGATATACCACATAAACAGAATTAAAAACAAAAATTACAGATTATCTCAATAGACACAGAAATAGCATTTGACAAACTCCAGGATCCCTTTATGATTAAAAGACTCAGCTAAAATCAGCACAGAAGGGACCTACCTTAAGGTAATAAAAGCCATCTATGATAAACCCACAGCCAACATTACACCAAACAGGGAAAAGTTGAAAGCATCCCCCACGAGAACTGGAACACAAAAAGGATGCCTACTTTCATCACTTCTCTTCAACATAGTACTGGAAGTCCTAGCTAGAGCAATCAGACTGGAGAAAGAAATAAAGGGCATCCAAATCAGAAAAGAGGAAGCCAAACTGTTGCTGTTCACTGATAATATGATTGTATATCTAGAAAACCCTAGAGACTCATCCAAAAAGCTCCTAGAACTGATAAATGAATTCAGCAAAATTTCAGTATACTGTAATGTGCACAAATCAGTAGCTCTGCTATACACCAACGGCGACCAAGCTCAGAATCAAATCAAGAACTCAACACTTTTTTACAACAGGTGCAAACAAAACAAAAAAAACTTAAGAATATACCTAACCAAAGCCGTAAAAGATCCATACAAAGAAAACTACACTACAAAACACTGCTGAAAGAAATCATAGATGACACAAACAAATGGAAACATATCCCATGCTCATGGATGGGTGGAATCAATAATGTAAAAATGACCATACTGCCAAAAGCAATCTACAAACTCAATGCAATTCCCATCAAAATATCATCATTGTTCTCATCATCATCTACCATCACTGAGAAAACAATTCTAAAATTCATATGGAACCAAAAAAAGAGCCTGCATAGTGAAAGAAAGACCAAGCAAATATAACAAATCAGGAGGCATCACATTACCTGACTTCAAACTCTACTATAAGGCTACAGTCACCAAAACATCATGGTACTGGCATAAAAATAGGCAAATAGACTGATGGAACAGAATATAGAACCCAGAAATAAAGCCAAATACTTACAGCCAACTGACCTTTGAGAAGGCAAACAAAAACATAAAGTGGGGGAATGGACATCCTATTAAACAAATGAGATGGAATAATTGGCAAGCCACATATAGAAAAATGAAACTGGAAATGAGGATTTCTCATCTTACACAAAAATCAACTCAAGATGGATCAAAGACTTAAATCTAAGACCTGAAACCATAAAAATTCTAGAAGATAACATTGGAAAAACCCTTCTAGACACTGGCTTAGGCAAAGACTTCATGACCAAGAACCCAAAAGCAAATGCAATAAAAATGAATATAAATAGATGGGACTTAATTGAACTAAAAAGTTGGTGTGCAGCAAAAGAAATAATCAGCAGAGTAAACAGACAACCACAAAGTGGGAGAAAATCTTTGCAAAGTATGCATCCGATAAAGAACTAATATCCAGAATCTACAAGGAACTCAAACAAATCAGCAAGAAAAAAAAAACAGACAAACAATCCCATCAAAAAGTAGGCTAAGAACATGAATAGACAATTCTCAAAAGAAAATATACAAATGGCCAAAAAATATGAAAAAATGCTCAACATCACTCATTATCGTGAAAATGCAAATTGAAACCACAATATAATACCATCTTACTCCTGCAAGAATGGCCATAATTAAAAAATAAAAAAAAATAGATATTGGCATGGACGTGGTGAAAAGGGAACACTTTTACACTGCTAATGGGAATGTAAACTAGTACGACCACTATGGAAAATGGTATGGAGATTCCTTAAAGAACTAAAAGTAGATATACCATGTGATCCAGCAATCTCACTACTGAGTATCTACCCAGAGGAAAATAAGTCATTATATGAAAAAGACATTTGCACATGCATGTTTATAGCAGCACAGTTTGCAATTGTAAAAATATAGAATAAGCCCAAATGCCCATCAATCAACGAGTGGATAAAGAAAATGTGGTATATATATTCCATGGAATGCTACTCAGCCATAAAAAGAAATGAAATAATATAATTCACAGCAACCTGCATGGAGTTGGAGGCCATTATTCTAAGTGAAGTAACTCAGGAATTGAAAGCCAAACATCAAATGTTCTCACTTATAAGTGTGAATTAAGCTATGAGGACACAAAGCCATAACAATGATACAATAGGCTTCAGTGACTCGGGGGGAAGATGGTAGGGAGGCGAAGAATATAATACTACACATTGGGTACAGAGTACACTGCTTGGGTAATGGGTGCACCAAAATCTCAGAAATCACCATTAAATAACTTATCCATGTAACCAAACACCACCTGTTCCCCCAAAACCTATTGAAATTTACAAAAATAGCAACAACATCAAGTCAAATACTCCAAAAGAGAAAAAAATGTGATACATCACATCTATAGAACCAAGAACAAAAACCGTATGATAATTACAATAGATGCTGAAAAAGCGTTTGATAAAATTCAACACCCCTTTATGATAAAAATTCTTAACAAACTGGATATGGAAGGAGCATACCTCAACACAACAAAGGCCACATATGACAAATTCACAGCTAACATTGTGCTGAATGGAGAAAAATTGAAAGCCATTCCTCTAAGATCTGGAGCAAGACAAGGATACCCATTTTCACCATTTTATTCAACATAATACTGGGAGTCCTGGCCAGAGCAATTAGGCAAGAGAAAGAAATAAAGGGCATCTAAATTGCAAAGGAAGAGTTCAAATTAGCTTTGTTTGCAGATGACATGACCTTATACTTAAAAAAAATCTGAAGACTCTACCAAAAACTATTTGAATTGATAAATAAGTAAAATTATAAGAATGCAATATCAACATAAAAAATCAGCATTTATATATGCCAACAACAAACAATCTGCACAGTAAATCAAGGAAGCTATTTACAACAGCTACAAAGAATATAAAATGCCTAGGAATCAATTTAACCAAAGAAGTAAAAGTTCTACATAAGGAAAATTATAAAATTCTGATGAAAGAAAATTGAAGTGAACACAAAAAATGGAAAGATATTACATGCTTATGAACTGAAATAATTAATATATTTAAAATTATAACATTATCCAAAACAAATTACAGATTCAATGCAATCTCTATCAAAATGCCAATGATATTCTTCACAGAAATTTAAAAAACCCTTAAAATTTATATGGAAGCACAAAAGACTTTAAATAGTGAAAAGAATCCTGAGCAAAAAGGACAAAGCTGGAGGCATCACACTGACTTCAAAATATGCTATAAAGCAATAGTAACCAAATCAGCATGGTACTGGCATAAAAACTGACACAAAGACCAAGGGAAGCGAATAGAGAACCCAGATATAAATCCACATATTTACAGTAAACACATTTTTGACAAAGGTATCAAAAACATGCTATGGGAAAAGGACAGTTTCTTCAATAAATGGTGCCATGAAACTGAATAACAATATGCAGAAGAGTGAAACTAGACTTTGATTTCTCGTAACATAAAAACATAAAATCAAAATGGATCAGAGACTTAAACTGAGGATCTGAAACTATGAAACTAGTAGAAGAAACTATCGGGCAAATGCTGCAGGACATTGGTCTGGGCAAAAAATTTTGGGGATAAGACCTCAAAAGCACAGGAATCAAAACAAAAGTAGACAAATGAGATTGTAGCAAGCTAAAACAGTTTTGCACAGAAAAGGAAACAATCAACAAAGTGAAGAGACAATCCATAGAATGGGAGAAAATACTTGCAAACTATCTATCTGACAAGGGATTAATAACCAGAATATGTAAGGAGCTCAAACAACTCAAAAGCAAAAATCCCAAATAATCCAATTTAAAAATGGGCAAAAAAGCTCAACACACATTCTCAAAAGTAGACATATAAATGGCCAACAGGCATATGAAAAAATGTTCAGCACCACTAATCATCAGAGAAATGCAAAACAATGAAATGTAATTTCATCCCAGTTAAAATGGCTCTTATTAAAAAGGCAGGAAATAATGGATGCCACTGAAGATGTGGAGAAAGGGCAACCTTCATACATGACTGGTGGGAATGTAAAATAGTAGAGCCACTATGGAAAACTCTATGGAGCTTCCTCAAAAAACTGAAAATAGAACTACCATATGATCCAGCAACTCCACTACTCTGTATATGTCCAAAAGAAAAAAAATCATTATGTTGAAGAGATATCTGCACTCTGTCTATTGCAGCACTATTCAGAATAGCCAAAATATGGAATCAAATTATGTGTCCATCAGTGAATGAATAGATAAAGAAAATATGGTCTATATACACATTGCCATATTTTTTAGCCATAAAAATGGGGAAATACTGTCATTTGCAGCAACATGGATGTAACTGGAGGTCATTATGTTAAGTGAAAAAGCCAAGCACAGAAGGAAAAATATTGCATGTTTTTACACATACGTGGGAGCTGAAAAAGTGGATCTCATTGAGATAGAGAGAAGATTGGTAGTTACCAGAGGCTGGAAAGGAAAGGGAAGAGGGAAAATGAAGAGAGGTTGATGAATGGGTACAAATACACATTTTGATAGATGAAAGAAGAAAACCTTGTGTACCTTGTGTTTGATAGATCAGTAGGGTGACTATAGTTTACAGTTATCTATTGCATATTTCAAAATAGCTAGAAGAGAATAATCAAATGTTGTTAGCATAAAGAAAAGACATTTAATGTGATGGATATCCCAATTACACTGATTTTATCTTTACAATTTATATAAATGTATTAAATTATCACATGTATGCCCCAAATATGTTCATCTATTATGTATCAATACAAAATTAAATTAAATTAAAAAGTGAGAAACTCTTAAAAATGGCTACTGAATTTTTCAGATGCCTTTTTAATGTCTCTAGAATAAAAATTTTATGGTTCTTTCTATTTAGATCTTTCCCTATGATTATTTACCTGAAAAAAATTGTTAATATTGAATTATGCTTATAGTCTTGGATTCTTGATTTAAAAGTAAGACTGGTCTATAGGTTTCCTTTATGTGTGGCCCTTATTAAATTTTAGTATTAGTGCTAAATACTTTATAAAATTTAATTGAAAATTTTCCTTCTTTTTTACACTTTTTAATAGATTAGATATCATGAGAATTATCCATTCTTCAACGGTTTGGTAAAATTTCCTTGTAATATTCATATTGGCTTGGTTACTCATTGGAGGAGGGCAAGGAATTGACAATTTTCTCAACTTTTTCCCTTTGGATTTTCTCTGTCCTCTAGGGTCAGTTTAGGTTAATTATATTTCCCACTAAAAATACCCATTTAACCCAGGTTTTCAAATGCATTTGCATATAGTAGAGCATGTACTGTCAATTGGGGCAATATATCTCCGATATTACAATTCGGAGATATTCTAATTCTCATTAGGGAAAAATTAAATTAAAATTTTCTTGTGAAGCAAAAATGAAAAAATGGTTGAAGAACATTATAACAGATTAAAGTAGTCTTTAGAATTATATTAACATTCTTTATTTCTATGTTTAACCCCTTATAATTTCTTACTTTGTATTTATTTTTTTTATTAATTTAACAATTATTTTAAATATTAAAAAGGCTGGCTTTTCAAATTACACATTAGCTCTAATCACCTTCCTTTCTTAACTCATTTATTAATTCTTCTAAATTGTTTAATATTTTTTAGTTTTCTTCTATTTAATAGTTGTTTTTCTAACTTTTTGAGTTGGTGCATAATTCATGAATTAAGCTTAAGCTGTATCACGGAATTCTATTCAGTAGTGTTTTCATACCTCATTATTTTCAAGAAATCCTACAATTTTTGTTCATAAAGTTATTTAAGAGAGTTTTTTGTTTAGAATTTTCACGTGGAAAGATTTTTATTTTTCTGATTTTTCTATTAATTTCTGTTTTTATGGAATTGTGATCATATAGTGTTGTCCATAATTTCCTATTTTTGCATTTTATCTTTATGGTTTAATAAATGGCAATTTTTATGAATATAATATTAGCCCTTAAAAAGAATATGTAATCTCTACTTTTGAGGCACAAAGTCTGATATATGTAGAGTTTGACTGAGGGAGATGAGTAAAACTGTCCTATTTTTGGTCTGTTACTTTCCATATGTCTTTATATCTCTTGTAATAAAACTTGTATATACAAATTTCTGCTATGTATTTGGTTCATAGATATTTATAAATTTCACATCTTCATTGTGATTTTTACTTTTTCTATCATAAAGTGCTTTTCTTTGTTTTATTTAATACTTGTTTGTCCTGAGTCCAACTTGTCTGAAATTAAAGTCATAAGTACTGCTATATTATTATTATTCCTTTTCCATGTATTTGGGTGGGGGGAATGTGCAGGGGCATTATTTGGGTAAAACTCTGCTCTTCCTTTAATTTTCAACCATCTGAACCTTTTTTTTCCAATGTGTACTTATATATAGCATGGAGTTTTGGTTTTAATGCAATTTGAAAATGCTTTTAAAAAATAGCTTAAAATGTGTATTGATTGAAAAATATTTGTCACAATTCTTTGATATATACATGGATACGTGTGTGATTATACACATGCGCATGAGTTTATGGTTCCTCTGACATTTAACAAGGTGTGCACTAAGGTGCAAATTTGCTCTCCAGCTGCTACCTTTATAATTCCATCTTTATATACTCATATTCTCTATTGTTTTGGATATAACAGTTATGAGCAATGATAAATTGGTATGTATCCTCTTCTTTTTCCTATACTGCATTTTATCAGCTGTCATATTTTGTTTAAAAATTACATTTCTTAGTGTTTATCTTTTTATGTTATGCGTGCTTACTCTACTACTTGTATGTCAGCTTTAAATGACATTTTCAACCTCAACAGTTACAGGTGAGTCAGTCAATGAACTTATTCTAATTACCACCATCTTTTTTCTTTCCCTTCCTAACATTTGTGATTTGTGTCATTTCTATATTTTCAAAACCTATAACATTCAAACATTTTTTGTAGTATTAGTTTTACAGTAAAAATATATTTGGTGTTCACCACCAGTCATTTTGAGAAAGTTTTCCCTTTTTTATTCTAGTATATCCCCTTATGGGAGGAATATTCTTTGAGTTTTAATGTTTAAAAATATGACATTTATATATGATGAATAACTAGCCAGATATAAAATCCTTAGATCATTATTTTTTTTCATGAGAATATAATAAGTTTTGTTTCCATTCTCATTGGAACAAAAGCCCATTGTCATTAGGCTTTGAATGTTGCTTTCAAGAAGACTGAGGGTAGGTTGATTTCTTTTTCTTTCTACAAGAATTGATTTTTTTTTCTTTTCTGCTTCAAAGGTTCCTTACATATATATAAAACTCAATAATTTGTTAGTATATTTCTTTGTTCAACCATCATGAATCATTTTTTTCTACTACATGGTATTTATTTTGAACATGTAGATTGAAGTCTTTTTTTTATCAGTTTCAAGAAAGTTTTTTAAAAATTTTGCTTAAACATTTGCTCTGTTCCACTGATAAGGTTTTCTTCTTTTTTTTTCTGGGTGATTTTTTTTTTGTTTTAAAATTATTATTATACTTTAAGTTTTAGGGTACATGTGCAACATGTGCAGGTTAGTTACATATGTATACATGTGCCATGCTGGTGTGCTGCACCCATTCTTCTTTAGAGACTCCAATTATATGTGTGTTGTATTTCATCTATCATTATCAGTTTCACACAAATACTTTTATTTGCTATGTCTTACTTATCTGCAATACTTAGTCCTTTTTTGTATTTCTTCCAATATTGTCTTCATTTCTGTCATGGTTTGCTTTTCTTCTTCTTTCTGCTAAAAAAATCAACTAATTTCATCCTCCTCATCTCTCTCTTGAGTTTCTTCATTTGTGCCTTTTGGTTTTCCTTAATAGATGATGTTTATTTCTTAACATATCAACAAATATGCTTAATTTAGAGAAACTATGCTGCTTATGAATAAGAGCAAAGACTCTAGAACAAGATTAACTGTGTTTAAATACGGGGTCTTCCTCTAACTGTGTGATCTTGAGTGTTACTTAACTTGTCCCTTAGGTCTTTAAATCTATATAATGGTAATAATAATAACAATATCTAATTTACAGAGTTGTGTTGAGAATCAGTTGAGTTCATATCTCTACAAAGTGGTAAGAATATTGCCTGGCAACAGTAAATACTATGCTAAAGTATTATTAGTTTTTTTCTTGCATTTCGAAATTTATAGTCACAATTTTAATTGTCTCTGTGACAACACTTTTTCCTCTCATCTATTAAAAAGTTTTGATGCTAATTTTCTGAATTTTAAAAATAGTATGTCTGTATCTGTGTTATGCCAGTTTCTTCTTTATCACTGCTCACTATTGAATGAATTATTTTTCTGGTCAAATTCCTTAGAGAAAGTTCCTGAAGTGGAGGTTGCAAAGTGGCTTTCCTGTTCTCAAAACAAATAGCTCCCACTTAATGATCCCCAATAATTGACACCTCCCTCTACCCATGCCCATAAAATACTCCCACATTGACTCTGGACTTAGCTACATGACTTGCTTTAGCCAACGGGACATTAACAAACACAACACATACAGAAGCTTGAAACTTGAAAGTGTGTGAACACTACAGCATGAACACTAGGCTGCCATTTCTCTTGCTACTGGGAACATGTCTACCTCCATGTGAAAAAGCCTGACTAGCTTCCTGGGAAAAGGCCCTAGGTGTCCAAGCCATCCCTTCCAGAGGCCCAGATTTGTGAGTAAGACCTGCTGATACCGCATGGGGCAGAGATTAGCCATTGAGCCCACACAGCTGAGCCCATCCCAATTTTCCATCTCACTAAATTGTAGGCAAATCACTGGTAGCTTTTTAAACCATTGTTTCGGGTGGCTTGTTATGCAGCAATAGATTATGGATTCACTTTTACTGTTGCCTCACAAACAGACTGCTTTTAGTAGTTATGGCATCTTTGTATACTCACTTCCTCTGAGACTCTGAAGGGAATTATGTCCAGAAGATCCTTTTCCAGTAGTTCTCTGCTCCCCAGTTCTTAAAAAGAAGGAACAGGACTTTTACATTTCATAGTGATTTGACCATCTTCAAGCACTAAAGTTTTGCTGACCCTGAGATCTGCTCCTACCATGTTTCTGGGAACTCCCTGTTCTCCTTTTGTCATCTGTATGTATGTATCTCTTTTGCCTTCTTCCTTCTGCTTCTGCTCCAGTTTTTGAGAGACAGCTTTGCATTTTACGACACACCTCTCATTTCCCAGAAAACATACTTTTGCTGGCACTTTCTGATACTTCTAGTGCTGGTTCCCATTGCCTCTCCCTGGGCCTTTTCCATATGACTTCTGCCCAAACTCAGCTGCTTTTGGTAACCTTTAGAAGCGCTTTGGGGTTTGTAGGTAAAATCTATATAAATTTGTTGAAAATGGTGTTTGACAGTTTTTTTCCATTCTCTTTGTTAGTTTATGTAATTTTTAGAAAGAGATGAGAAAGATGCTTAAAAAGCTGACATCATTTTCTACTGGAATCCGTATATAATTCTTTTTGCAGTAAGAACTCTTTGGACACATTTTTCTGAAGATGATGTAATAACCTTGGGAGGCTTAGTAATTATTAATACCTTTCAAATTTCTCATATTCAAAAAGGGGCAGCATGATGCTCAAATTGGTTCTTTTTTTCCCCTAGATTGAACTACAATTTAGATTCCTTACACTCTCTTTAGGCAATGGTTGCCTTATATTTAATACATCTAACTAATCCTAACTGTAGTTCAGAAAAAGAGATTCCATTATCATCATTTTACAGATGAAAACTGTGAGAACAATGACTACATTGCGGATTTTGTTGGCTTCCTTTCAGGTGCTTATTGCCTCACTATTATTAATTTTGGCTTTGGGCTCAATTTCAAGGTTATGGATGAGGTAGATGGTATAGTGTAAGCAACAGGTCCAAAAAGGCAGAATAACCAGCGAACACTTGGTAGCATCTCAGATGTGGGGAAATAGGTGTTTTATACTCCAAACGCTAGTGTTTGAATATGTTTCCTCCAAAACCATGAAGGGGAAAGTTCATTAAGTTCCTACACTGATAAGCTCTTAGACATGCCTTTCAATGTACAGGCATGTAAAGCTATTTTGGGTGAATGGGTGAATAGTAGGTTATTAGGTTATTGCCCTTCTTTGGGAGGTCCCTATTTGTCCTTTAATACACAGTTCAGATGGGATTTAAATTCCCTGACCTGTTCCTTCTCTTACATAGAAAAAATTGCTTCCACTTATGCAATTGGCATGTGCTTCTGTTGTGAAATACTTGTGTTGTTTGTCTCGGGCTTTCATAGTTGGTTCTCCTATTAGGCAGTGAGCTCCTTGGGTGCAGAGACTATGTCCTAATCGACTCTGCATCCTTAGCTTCTGCAAAGTGCTCAGTGCACAGTAGGTGTGCATGATGTTTATTGGAATAAATCGAGAAACAGGCGAATGTTGTCTATTAAAGTCATTTTGGTCTCTAGCTACTGTAGTAGTTGGATAGGCAAAGTTACTTCATGCCTATCTTCCTCCTCTTTTCCTTGCCAGCTTCCTTCTTTTTTTCTCTGACTGAAAGGGCTGGACAACCGGGGAAAAGGAAACTTGTGCTTTCCAGCATACCTCTCCCACTCTACACACACACACACACACACTCTCTCTCTCTCTCTCTCTCTCTCTCTCTCGCTCTCGCTCTCGCTCTCTCTCCATCCTGTTGCATTTTTAAAGCAGGCTCAGTCAGGTTACTGAGTGCCTGTTGCTCCATCACACGAATTCCCAAGTTGTGGGACTCACCTTCAGGGGTGTCTTGGTGGAGCACCTCTTGGGAGGTGATCTGACCTGTTGGTTCAGGAGCACTGCGCGTATTCACTCTGGCGCTCCTTTGTGCAACAGGAGACCAGAGGACTCCCACGGTCCCACTGGCTCCTTCCACGTAATGTGCCCCGCTGGCTCTCTCGCCTCCCCCAACCCGGGGGTCTGCGTCCCCTGCGCCCCAGTCCCTCTTTGTGCAGCCAGTAGCTGCAGAGCTCTTCGTCTTGTATTCATGGCAGATGCACAGCGAGTGACTGACACGTTCCAGGGACGGCGAATGGGAAAGAGCGCGGGCGGCCGGGGGAGGGTGTGTAGTGGCAGACGGCCGCTGGGATTATGAATGGGGGCTGGGGGGCCGGCGAGTGTGGGGTTCAAACCAGGATTTTCGGTCTCTGGCTTTGGATAGGCACGCAGGGCTGTGCGTAATCCTTCAGCTCTGGTGGTAAGGGAGATGCAGTGAGCTCCCGGCTGGGAGAGAGGGTTATTTTGCAAAACTCCCCTGGTACCGTGCCCGCGGAATATTGCAGGAGGTCTGTGAGGTAGGTGGGGGAAAAAATAACCTGGGAGGGCAATCAGGGAGAGGCCAGACGACTGGGGACGGCGTGCTTTGCACCCTAGAATTGACAGGTGGTGGCCTCAGCAGTTACAACCTACTACACAGCATCTCGTCCGTGCGATACGGTCACATTGTTATTCCCCGCACCCGGCTGAGGAGCGCAGCGCGGCAGACCAAGTGGCACCGGCGAGCTGTCTCTCTTCCGGGGGGCGGGGGTGGACAGTAGGGAGAGGGGGTTTAAAGGGCCAGAGGACGAGAGAAGAGCTGAGGGGCGCGTCGCCAGCGCCTGTGTCTCCCTGGCGCGGGTTCCCCAGGCTAGCCCGCTGGCCCGTCCGCGCGCGCGCCCCCGGCCCGCGCGCCCCTTCCCGGGGCTCCTGGCCTCGCCTCAGCGGCTGCAGGCTCTTCGTCGCGGGCCGGGCTGCACGCGAGCGCCCTCCGGGCAGACTTTCGTCCCCCACCCCCGGGAGCGCGGAAGGCTCACTCGCAGCGCATGGTCTACCCGCGCCGGGCGGAGCCCCGGCGTCCAGAGCGCTGCGGCCGCGGCGGTGCAGCAGAGGCGCCTCGGGCAGGAGGAGGGCGGCTTCTGCGAGGGCAGCCTGAGGTAAGGGCTGCCTAGGAGGCTGCGGGTTTATTTTTCCTCATTCTCTTACTTCATCACACACTGAAGCCTCAATGGAGAGTGTAGGGTGCTGTGGGGCTGATGTGGGGCAAAGAGGGAATGGGGCCGCCGGGCCTGGATGGTCGTCTTGACGGCGTCATTGTCGCCCCTTGTAGGAAATCCGCCAACCGGCCCCTAGCCTTTCGCCCTCATCTTCTCTGCTTCGGCTTCCGCCCTTGGACCTCTTGACAAGTCACTGGGGAGGAGAGGATGGAGAGAGGCTAAGGGAGAATGGAGAGAGGCAGAAGGATTCAGGGCTTGGAAGCCCTGGAGTAGGTGACGGATGGGCGCGCGGTGCCCAGTGATTGACTGCAGGCAGCGGGCGCGGAAGGGAACCTGAACTACCCAAGAGTTTGCTGGGCTGAGGCTCCAGGATGCTCCTGCGTGCCCTGGTGGCTGGGGCACCAAGGAGGGGCGCACTCAAGCCTCGGCATCACCAAGGCTCTGCCAGGAACTTTTGGGAAGATTTGTCTGGTGTTTGGTGAGGGGGCTTGGACCTTTCTAGCTACAAGAGTGTGTTGGGGAAGGAAGAGGCTCTCCTCCTTTCTCCTGTCACTTTCCTTCATGCCTACTCTCTTCTTCCATCTTCCTGTTTTGCCTCCTTCCTTCCCGTTTTTCACAGGCCACCTTCCTTGTGCGGTACTTCAAACACAAATCGGAACCCACTATGGCCAACAGCTTTAAAGCGTGTATAAGGAGGAGCGCACAGAAGAATCGCTCTTAATTACAGTAGTTATATATGTGTGTGTGTGTGTCTGTGTGTGTCACACACGTGCCTGGGATAATTTTTAGCAAGACTTTGAGACGGTCACCTAAAATTACATTGTACTTACATTAGGTTTACATCATAATTATATGATGCCACTGAACAGAAATGGTAACTCTATGCATTCTGCATCTTAGATCTGAGATATAACTGTTCTTTGAATCACATGCATCGTTTAATTTCAAAGATTTCCAGCTGCTGGAAAACTCTTGGCTAAGTTATAAGAATGAAAGGCACATTAAGCATAAAAAAAGTAATAAATGTCCAGATACTATTTTTATTAGTAGATCATACTCCCCCTCCGTTTCCTTTTGCCAAAAGCTGTTATTATACCAATTATATTCATAAAAACGAAACAAATTTGGAGATTTCAGTGTTTTTACCTACAACCTGAAGTGTAGGTAGGGGTCTAGAATTTATCTGTACATGAATTCACAAGAAGATAGATAAGGCCAATGATTTCACTGCAGGTAAAGGAAGTTGAGCTTCTTCTCTCTCAGGATACCTCATTTCTTGGTATCCCAAGAGAGAAATCCCCTTAATGTCAATAAATATAGCATTGGTCTCTTCAGCTCTTCAAATCAATACTTGTAGGACTTGACTGTAATATGTTTGCTGGCTGTTTCTATTCTTTTTCATTTTCTAAACAACAACGTGCCAATTTTGTTAATTTACAAAAAATAAGTAAGATTGTTAAATGGACTGGAATTTATGAGATGGCATGATCGATGCATTGAGGCTGTTTATCTATATATCTATCATCTTTCTATTTTTCTTGTTACAGTTGGGAGCTAAACAATGTTGCAGTGTGTCTACTTGTATTTTTATCAGCTGATTTGCTTTTCAGTTTCTTTATGGCTTGACATATTTTGCAAAAATGAATTGTCTTAAATTTCTCTAGAGAGTAACCTGTTAGACATACTGTTTGCTTTCAAAATAGGACTGTTTTTTGATTTGAGGAATAAGAAATCAATCATACATGGTTTTCTGATCTTGGAGTCCTTTGCCTGTCTAGAGACAGGTATTTAAGTATTTAACAGTAATAGTTACTGTGTATGTACAAATAAAGGCTTGTTTGATAAAGATACTGGACACAGAAATAATAATTCCATTTTGGTTTACAAATGCAATATTTAAAATTGTGAAGAAATAAAGAGTTCTAGGTTACTCCTAATATCTTACTTGACTTAATTTGGCTAAGGAGCAAGAGGTATATGAAGAGGTCTTCAGTTAGAAAGATTTGGTGGTTAGTAATTTATTATCATGTCATACAATTTCACCCATTTCTATTTCCAAAAACCTTCAAACAGCATAGTTTGGACAAGGTTTAGGATGTTGCTGACCACAAAACAAATGAGTTCCTTCAGGCACTGGCTATTGTAGCCACCATGTGGTAATACAGTGGACACTGTGATGTGCCAAATCGTTCTTCAAGGAGGGACTTGTTGCCCCAGCTTCTGGGAGTGTGGTCAACAGATGGCCTTCAATAGTCAGACTCTTCAGGGATTGCCTGAGCTGTAGAAAGCTCCCTTGTCCAAGGTCACACCCCTTTCCAGCGCAGCTCACATCCAATGGCTGATCCATGTGGGAGTATAAAGGTTGGGCCATTGCAGCACAACTCTGGAAAACTCTGAAGGATCTTTCTAGCTCTGGAGCTCCCTGAGGGCTTGCATTGCAGCTCTACTTCTCTCTTTGGTCCTTTCTGTTTCCTTCCCCATCCTTCCTCAGGTGTGGATAACAAGGCGGTTCCCAAGAAAATAGGGCTTTGAACTTCATTTCAGAATTAGCTTGCCAGGGAAACCCACCTGTGACTATGTTCTTACCCCATACATTCATTTTGCCAGTTTTAATCCATTGGTCTTTTGAAATGTGGTGTTTCAACCATCAAATATGATATAGAAGATGCATATGTGGAAGGAATTTATAGTTGACAGTTTCTTTTTCTTCCAGCACTTGAAAAATGTTATGTCACTTCATTTCAGGCCTCCCTGGTTTCAATGAGAAATTTGTTGTTGTTTGAATTGACGTTCCCTTATACACAATGCGTCATTTCTCTCTGGAGAGTTTCAAGAATATTTTCTATATCTTCATTTTTTGGAAGTTTGATTATGATGTGTTTTGGCATGAATTTCTTTTGGTTTGCTCTGTTTGGGATTTGATGAAGTTTTTAAAATGTAGGTTTGTCTTTCACCAAGTTGGGAGATTCTTAGGCATTATTTCTTCAAACACAAAAGTGTTTCAGCCCCACTCTCTTTCTTATCTGCTTCTGTGACTCTGATGATATGAAAGTTGGATCTTTTGTTGTTGTCCTACAAGACCCCGAGGCTTGGTTCATCATTTTTTTTTCTGGTATTTTCTCTTTGTTCAAATAGAAAACATTCATTGGTCTGTTTTCAAGTTCGCTGATTCTGTCCTCTGTCTTCTCTACTACAGAGCCCATCTAGTATTTTATTTTGATTACTATATTTTTCAACTCAATAATTTCCATTTGGTTCTTTTTGCAGCTTATGCTTATTTGCTGAGACATTCTATTTTTTCATTAGTTTCTAGAGAATTTGTATTTGCTTGCTGAAACTTTTTTTTTTTTTTTTTTTTTGAGACAGAGTCTCACTCTGTCACCCAGGCTGGAGTGCAGTGGCATGATCTTGGCTCTCTGCAAACTCTGCCTCCTGAGTTCAAGCGATTCTCCTGCCTTAGCTTCCTGAGTACCTGGGACTATAGGTGCGTGCCACCATGCCCAGGTAATTTTTTGTATTTTTAGTGGAGAAGCGGTTTCACCATTTTGGCTAGGATGGTCCCGATCTCCTGACCTCATGATCTGCCTGCCTCAGCCTCCCAAAGTGCTGGGATTACAGGCTTGAGCCACCGTGTCTAGCCTGAAACATTTTTTTTTTTTTTTGAGATGGAGTCTCGCTCTGTTGCCTAGGCTGGAATGCAGTGGCACTATTTCCACTCACTGCAAGCTCCACCTCCCAGGTTCACGCCATTCTCTGGCCTCAGCCTTCTGAGTGGCTGGGATTACAGGTGCCCGCCACCACGCCTGGCTAATTTTTTTGTATTTTTTAGTAGAGACGGGGTTTCACCATGTTAGCCAGGATGGTCTCGATCTTCTGACCTCGTGATCCACCTGCCTCGGCCTCCCAAAGTGCTGGGATTACAGGTGTGAGCCACTGCGCCCGGCCAACATTTTTAGAATAAATGCTTTGTAATCTTTGTCAGATAATTCCAACATCTGATTCACTTAATTGTTGGTGTCACTTGATTGTCTTTTCTCATTCAAGTTGTGGTCATATTTTGGACATTTTAGCTATTGTGTTAGAAGGCTCTGGGTTTCTATTTAAATCTTGTATTTTAACAGATAATCACTCTGTTTAGGGTAACACACAGATCCTGGCCTACTTTTGTGGGCAGTGGTTTCAATGACAATTTAATTTCTAGAGGCTTTGAGGTGCTGTTAGTCTGCCTGGTTTGTCTGGTGCTTCCGGGGCTCCCACTGAACGCTGCTGGTGCCACCTGAAGGGGAAGAAGAAGCCTCCCCAGGCCAGGCCCTGTTGTGCCTCTAGGTTAGAGAAGTGTCTCTAAGTGACTTTCAGCCTTGCAGAAATAAGGAGCATTCTTAGACCTGGAACTTGTGGCAGGATTCCTGGTGCCAGTGCTCTGAGGCCACCTAGTATTGTCAAATGGACCCCAGTTAGATGCAGACAAGGAATGAGCCTACCTAGATCATTTCCTACTACTAGGTTAGGAGTCGGGAGACTCTGGGCCTGGGTAATCTGCTGTTGAATAGAGAGTTGGAAGACATCCACTGCTCTATTGCTCTACTGTTCCTCCAGCCTAGAGGTCACTAAGCAGTCCATTTCCCTCTTGCCACCATTCTCAGTCCTCCTTGGGATGCCCCTTGCATTATTTTTATTTTTTAATTTTAAAAATGTTTAAAAATTTATTTATTTATTTATTTATTTTTTGAGATGGAGTTTCGCTCTGTCACCCAGGCTGGAGTGCAGTGGTGCATCTCGGCTCACTCCAACCTCTGCCTCTCGGGTTCAAGCAATTCTTCTGCCTCAGCCTCCCAAGTAGCTGGGATTACAGGTGTGTAACACCATACCTGGCTAATTTTTGTATTTTTTTTAGTAGAGATGGGGTTTCACCATGTTGGCCAGGCTAGTCTTTTTTTTTTTTTTTTTTTTTTTTTTTTTTTGAGACGGAGTCTCGCTCTGTCGCCCAGGTCGGACTGCGGACTGCAGTGGCGCAATCTCGGCTCACTGCAAGCTCCGCTTCCCGGGTTCACGCCATTCTCCTGCCTCAGCCTCCCGAGTAGCTGGGACTACAGGCGCCCGCCACCGCGCCCGGCTAATTTTTTGTATTTTTAGTAGAGACGGGGTTTCACCTTGTTAGCCAGGATGGTCTCGATCTCCTGACCTCGTGATCCACCCGCCTCGGCCTCCCAAAGTGCTGGGATTACAGGCGTGAGCCACCGCGCCCGGCCGTGCCAGGCTAGTCTTGAACTCCTGACCTCAAGTGATCCACCTGTCTTGGCTTCCCAAAGTGCTGGGATTACAGGCGTAAGCCACTGCACCCGGCTTTTTAAAAACACTCTAGTTTAAATCCTCAACCACATTATCCATTACTATCATTGAAAATACTAGTTTGATTGTATTTCCCTGTAATATATATCTGTTAGGTGTGGAGACATAGTTTAAACCTTAGTTCAAGATAGCTTATTTAAATTAAGTTAATTAATATTACTGTAATTACAGAATTAAATGTCAAATCATACCCTGTCTGTAGAGTCTAAGACAAAAATCTTGGTATGTGACGTTTACTCTATGGAACATTTTTTTTTCAAGTTATCTTAATGCATTTGAAAAATATTAGTACTTCTTATTTATTGCCATCTTTGTGGGAAAGGCTAAAAAATCCTTTATCCTGTGGACACTTTAACCTTAGAGAAAGTAAATGACATTATTTCCATAAGCAACTTGCTGATATTTTGAATGGATTAAGGAGCAGATACCAGGATTCTGTCTTTGGCTCTCCTAGTATATCACAGTGCTGACTCATAGAATTATGGCATTTTCAGAACTGAAAGTGATCTTAGAGATCACCTATTTCAACCTTATTGTTTTATATTTTAGAAAACTGACATGTTAAAAAGCCATAAGGAAATCTAAGTTCCTTCAGTTCAGTGATGGCAGGGCTTGTTTATTCTGAGTTCTTAGAATTTCCTAATTTGATATTTTCTTTAAGAAATCAGAATTGCCTTCCTTTGAGAAGGCTTATTAAAAATTTATTTTGAGGTATAATCTCTCAGTACCCCTTTTTTAACAAGAAAAACTACTTCAATAAGTTGGGAGGACATGATTTTTTTAAATAAAAATAGGCTTGTTTGAAAATCTGAGGGACATATGGATTAATTATCCAGAAAAATGAACATATAGTCAAAAATTTGCATTCAATATTAAGTATTTATGGATTCCTAGGAAAGACCTCCAGATACTGTTTTGTGTTATACTCATGCACTAACTGTGGATTGTCTTTGTTGGGGAAAGTGATAGGGATAATGACTTATTTTATAGTCTGGGTCAGCCTTAAAGGCCTGTGGATGGTGACAGTTGTCCTGGGCATGCTACATTGGTATACTGCAGGATTTGTCTCCCTGCAGATTCTAGAGTGGCAGTAGGTGAGAAGGATGTAGCAGGACCAGCAGGTGTTCAAACAGACTGACTGTGCGAAATACAAACAGGGAACTCAGCCCACAGTGCTTGCTCTCTCCTCCCCCATAACACACACACATACACTTACAACATATATTAAGATTCCTTAGAAAGATTCTCCATCTGTTTCTTTCTGCTCTCACCTTCTTACTATATGGAGAAACAGTGTCCTTTTGAGATCATTCTTTTTCTGATAAGATTGCTTTAGTGGTCATTTAAAACCAATTTCACCTATATCAAATGTTAAGGGCTGAAAAAAGAAAGATTAAAGCAGCATCTGCTGTATATACTGGGGGGATTTTTCTAAGGGTAAAAACAAAAGCACATCCATGTTTTCCTTATATCATGGATTAAAAAAAATTAAAACCATAGAATGATAATGACTGAATTCAGAGATCAGGAGGCAAGGCCAGTATTGAAATTACTTTTAAGCAGACTGCCTATATATACTTAAAGGAAGCTCCTATATACACTTCTGTGACTAGTACAACTCCCTGGATGAGAAATAAGACTGAATTGTTTTGCAGTGTCATGATGTGTACCAGAGTGAAAAACTCAATGCAGAAAAATGGGAATGTTGTACAAAAAGATATAACAGAATGAGGCAGTTTTTTTCTAGTTAATTTCCCTAGAAAGCACTTTGTAGGACTTCTATTTGCAAGGTTACACTTTAGTAACTGAATAAGTGAGGACTGGGAATTGGAAGTCCTGAGTTCCAGTGCTGCTATGCAATTTATTGGGTCAGTGACATCCTGTGTGTAAGCCTAAGGGTATAAAATAAGGCCAGCTTATGATAATCTCTAAAGTTCTTTCCAGCATTATCATTTGGTGAAACTTCAGATTAGTGGATATTGTTCGACAAAACATTTGAAACAATTTGTGGTAGGCCCATGCAATTAAGTATTATCCATAAGAAAGATCTCCAGGAAGTTAATATTTGAATTTGAAAGTAGTATAATATCTTGATATGGTCAGAATTTGCAATAGTAAGAGTGGTCACGGTTGGGCTAAGACTATCCAACTATATGGGTATAGCACATAGCACAATTTGGGGAACAAACATTTTGCTGAAATGATAATGACAACGGTCATGATGCAAATATGGATGGCACTAGATTTAACTGGACGGAAGGTGTGGTAGATACTGCAGATTGGCTGAATATCAATTCATCCCCTTTCTCTCTCATCTTCCTCTGCTATACAAGTTGGAAAGCAAAACATTCAATTTTCCAGCCTCCCTTGAAGGTAGCAATGGCCCCTATGACAAAGATTAGATGAAAGCTTCTGGGGAGCACTTCCCTTCTCGAACAAAGCTTCTTAAAACGAAGTCTGTTTCCCCTGTCTCTTACCCCTTCTTACTCCATAGAGCATGGATGATCCTGTGAGTGGCCATCTTGCAAGGATGAGGAATAAATCCATAGGCTTAGGATGATGAAGTGGCAAAACAGATGTAGCTTGGATCCTCGGTGGCATTTTCAAGATGTATCAGCCCTGCACTGCCTACCTCCAGGCTTACTATTCCATGAGAAAAATATAAACCCCTTAATTGTTTCTTCCACTATTTTGTTAGATTATTTGTTACTTCCAGCAAAATACTTTTCCAACTGAATACATGAAGTAATTTTTAAGACCTCACATTTTACATTTTTGAAGGATAAAATTAGTGTCTACAGATCTATGTAATTACTGACCTTGGATATGAAACTTAGGGTACTTTGTACCAATACTTTCATTTTGAAGAAGTTTGGGTGTGAAAATTTTGGATAATTTGTATAATTTTCATCTTATTTTTCATTGCATGAAGAATAGCATGAGACTTCAAGAGTCTCTGTTTTGCATTGCTTAGAGAATAGTTCAAATTTTATTCAATGGGTAAAATTTATATTAAGAAAACTCTTTCTGTGAGTCATACCTCCTACTTAGCCATAATCTTCGGTAAGATAGGGATACAGCTGAAGAATACCAATGAGTCTTGAAAATAATTGTTTTCCCCATTTGGATTATAGGCAAAATGTATAGCAAAGTGGGTTTCCCTCTTTACTATTTAATGTGAGTTTGTTTCCACCAAATTTCTTCTGACTTCACACTGTCACAAACTGAGAAATACTTTAAAAGGAGGAGTGTAAAGGTGAAAGAAGGTTGGAATTTGCAGTACATGGATATAAAAGATGGAAAATAATTTTGTGCATATGACAAGGAATCTACAGACTCTCCATTTGGATTTGTCTGACTTAGTGCAGGGAATTAATTTTTGCTTTAAGCCGTGTGATAAGAGAAAAAGAAGGATTCAATTGGGATATGTTGATAATATTATAGCAGTTAAGATTGCATTCATTTGGGAGTAACCAATAATTTGACATACAATGCTACAACCAGCAAGAAGTTTATTTTTTTTATACAACATAAAGTGTCAGCAGGAAGATAGTTCTTAATAACCGAGGAAACTATGAAGGAATTGGGCTCCTTCCTGCTTTTGACTCCACTGTAATTAGTGTCTCCTGGTTGAAAGTGTCACCAGTTTTCTCCTGGTGAAAAGACAGTTAATAAAGCTTCCAGGCATGACATCTGTACCACAGGCAGGTAGAGGTGGCCAGGCACAAGGCACACAGCAGCTGAGTCCGTCCTTTTTAATAAGGAAAATATTAGCTTCCTGGGAAGTTGCATCTGGTAGACTTCTAATATCTTATGCACCAGAACTATGTCAATGGCCATACCTAAGTACAAGGAATTATGAGAAATAGTTTGTTTGTGTTTTAATTGTTGTCTGGAAAAATTGGTACCTCCCCCAAAATGTCAGGATTCTGTTATATAATGAAAAAAGGGAAAATAGATATGGGGTAGGAAACCACTATTGTCATTGCATATGAAAATATTTTACAGCTTTTAAAATATTTGCGGTGTTGTCTCATAAATTTGTAATCTGGAGATTTCTTAAGATATGATAGTTTAAAATGGTTATAAATTTTTATTTGCCTCATTATCTAATTTTTTTAATCAGTTGTCATTGTGTCAAGAGAGCTGACTGATATATGAAACTGAGTGATAGTATTGCTATTAAGGGAATTATAAGCAAAAAAGTCACAATTTCCTTCTACATTAATGATGACATATATAAGTGTGAAATTCTGAGAAATCAGATAGTGACACTATTGTGTACTATTATGTATTATTTATTTATAAAATGTATTTGTGTACTATTTATTTATAAAATGTTATGCTTTTTTGTTTTCCCTAAATTTTTAATGACATATATTAATATTATCCAAGAGCAAATATATTTTTTAAAAGAATAAAATAAACTTGGCTTAATCTCAGCATTTCTACTTTGCTATACTCATTCAAGATATTGACAAAAATATCCTTCATAATTGAAGGTTTATTCTCCAATTGATGTAGGCACTCTACTTAGAAGCTGTTTATCCACATCAAGGCTAATGGATTTCTTTTTCTAGTTAGTTTTTTCACATTAAAATAGGGAGAGGCAACTGTTCTCACCACACATCAAAAGGATGTTATAAAGACAAATGAAATAATGGATGTGAAGTGCATTATTCGCTCTAAAAGGTGTTATATAAATTCTATAAATAGTATTATTAATGTGTAAAGAAGATGATGGGTGATCATTTCCAAAAGTGAGTATCATAACCAGGAATTTTGAGTGTGGTCTTCAATACAAGTTTTTCAAAGAGAACAATAAAAACAACATATTCTTAAGTTCTTGCATTGAAATATCACTGGTAAACCTCACTGTGAGGGGAAGAGAATGTACAGAAAGGGCTTCAAAGCCAGGCAATTTCTTGAATAATGCAACATAGTAATAGATTTTGCCCAGATATAAAAAGTCCTTTGGGTCTCTTAAATGGTTTGTGAGATGGGAAAACTCGGATTAAAATGTACGATTCCAGTGCTGGAAATAGAATCTTAAATCTAGAATGGAACTTCCAATGCCATATCTTGGAAACAATGAGGTTCTGCTTTACTAAAAAAATCTTCAATAAAGGCTTTTGTAATACTGTCAGTAAAGGTTTTTGTCAGCCCTTTGGACGCCAGCTTTTATTTCTTGAAAAGTAAATTTTAAATAGGAAGTTGTTCCTTATTTCTAACCATGGCAAATGTCATGCTTTCTATGTGCTGGTCACTAGGGAAAATGAATTGTATGATATGCTGATAATGCTTGACTTTGAGCCAGGGAGCAAGGCTTGTGTCTTAGTTTTGTCACTAACTTAATTGTGTAACTGGGAAAATTATTCAATTGTTTCATGTAAAGAAACAGTCTTTAAACTACATCATTTTCCTCTTTAGGCTTTTTAGGCATGCTTAGGGGACTTGTCTAATGGAGATCGTAGGGGAAAGTCACACCTCTGTGGGAAAAATACTGGGTCTCTTTCATGTCAAATTTATGGTGATGAGTGTTTACATGAAATTGTCATGTGAAAAGTGATCTGGAAATAAGTACAAGGAAGGAAGCTTTGCTTTTCTCTGTGCTTTATGCTCTTGCTTGATTTGTTGAAGATCAATGCTAATGTGTGGGGTTCCAAGTGGTGTATGCTAAAGAGACAGTAGCTAAGAAGGAACAAAGGTGGTTAGTTAAGGAGAGCACGTCATACTTTGTAAATCAGATTGTCAACATTATTTTATCTCTTTTTGCTTTACCCCAAGTCATTAGAAAGTCTTGTTTAATTGTCTTGGCTGTCTTATGAAAATTAAGAGGGAGGTTAAATTCAGGCAAGTGTTTTGGACAGGAAGTAGTTCCCCTTGGCCTAAAGCACTGTGGTAGTAGCAGTAGCAGCAATAATTAGAGAGTAGGGAATTCTTAAGAGAAGATAGGGGAGAAATGAAGAGGGGAATAGGGGAATTGTGGCTGCCAAACACCACTAGAGGTCCAGCTGTCATTTTCCAAATGGATAATTTTCTTCCACTGTGCATGACAGAAATATATTTCTTGGTCATGTAATGATACTGAGCTATTCCAGGTGGGCTGGGAGGAGGAAGTGGGAGCTCTCTGACCTGCTGTTTCAGGTGAGTCATGTCGTGGCTGCTCTGCTTCTTGTAGTCACCCAGGGACCTTAGAGTAGAGGTGCTTATTTTTAAAAATTCCTTAATTAATAGACTTTATTATTAATTTTAATTGATACACAATATGTTAACATATTTAAGGGGCACATCTTTTTTTTTGGGGGGGTGGGTGGGGGGTGGGAGGACTGAATCTCACTCTGTCTTCCAGGCTGGGGTGCAGTGGTACGATCTCGGCTCACTGCAACCTCTGCCTCCAGGGTTCAAGTGATTCTCCAGCCTCAGCCTCCCGAGTAGCTGGGATTACAGGCGTGCACCACCAAGCCTGGATAAGTTTTATATTTTTAGTAGAAATGGGGTTTTGCCATGTTGGCCAGGCTGGTCTCGAACTCCTGAACTCAGGTGATCTACCCACCTTGGCCTCCCAAAGTGCTGGGATTACAGGCGTGAGCCACTGCTCCTGGCCAGGGGCATGTCTCTTTTCAGTACATGGATTTCAAAGATGTCATGACCAACTCCATTCTGACAGAGCATGGTGGAGAAAGAGTGGGTGAATATTATGGTGTCCTGGAAGAGGCACACATCCTTTATATTTATATTATTGTTTAGAACTCAGTCTTATGGCCAAACCTAATTGAAAGAGAGACTGGGATATTTTATCTAAGCTGTGTGTCTAAAGAAAAGAAAGCAGATATTTTTGTGGATAGCTAATAGTATCTGCAGTACAATCATTGTGCAGCTTTTTTTTTTAAACCTCTTTCCTACAGCAGATTCCTTGTTTCCTGATTTTTATATCTTCCTGTTTCTTGGTTTAATCTTTTGTATTGATAGGTGGAGCATATCTTCCAATATCTTCCTAAGGAAGAGTATTTAAAGGTAGAACTTTTGAAATGTTTTACATCTGGAAATGTTTTTCTTCTATTTTACACCTTGTGGATGTAGAATTCTAGGAAGCCATTTTACTCAGAATTTTGAAGGCATATTTCCATGTCTGTTGGCTGTCATTTTAGCCATTAAGAAGTTTGATGCTATTTTGAATCTTGATCCTTTAAATGTGAAGTCTTTTTCTCATTTGAAGCTTTTTAACATCATCTCATTCTCCTTGAAAATTTTGAAATTTCAAGATTATGTACCTGGGTGCAGGTCATTTCTAATTTTGGTGGGGGAGCTCAGTGGGTCTTTTCTTTCTGGATACTGTACTCTTCTTTAGTTCTGGAAGTTTTTCTTCTATTATCAATTTTATTAATTCTGAAGTCAATTTTCCCCCATTATTTAACATCTCAGATCAACATGCACCTTTAATCGATGGTGTCTTATAAAAGCCAGATGTCAATCATGAGTTGGTTGTGTAAAAAACATTCTATTGACACCTTCTGACATGACTTTGAAACAAGTGCTAACATTAGCACTATATTAGTGCTAAATTATTTCATTTGGTTTTCTTGGTTCTGTTTTCTAGAATTTCTATTACTTCTTAGTGATACATAAAATAATGCTTGTTTTTGATTGTAAGGTACACAATTATTTTATGTATGACTAAGAAAAAATACTAGCAATGAAACTGTAAACAGTGTTTTCTAATCACTTACACAATTAATTTTATTTTTATTGAAAGAACATGCTTACACTTAAATATAAAATATATGATATATTTCTCCCATGAATGCATAACAAAAGAACACATACTAAAATAGCTTAGATGAGTTATTCTAAAAACTGATTCACTTTCAGAGTTTTAAATTCACATTTGAATCCGTCTCTTCAGAATCCTGAGTCACTAATATCTGTGTTTATCCATGCAGTTCCACTTTATGTACCATCAGTAGAGCTGGTCCTGAAAAGATGCTTAGCAATTATGTTGATCGAGCTTGCCTTGTGATTCCTGCTTTGGGGATGTTGTTAAACATGCTTGATTCCCCACTGATCCTATCTCTTCATTACAGGTATATGATTTCTAGATGTTAAAGGATGCTCCATTATTGTTTCTTAGATTTCCTTGTGACCAAACTCTCATTACTGCTATCTCTCTGACGGCAGTTGTAAAATACTGTCAATTGTAGGGCATATCCTGATTTCAGGGCTGTAATTGGAAAATATACATGGTATTTAGATGCTGAGCCATCAGGATTAATCCTCTAAAAATTTCTTATCTTTTAAAAACAAATTTTCTTTCACATATTACATATTGTTCTGTGTATAGTTACTCTTCTACTGTGTACCTTAATTGCAAGGTAAAGAGAAACTTGAATTTTCTTAAAGTGAAACAGAAATGGCAAGAATCCCTGGGGTCCTTTTACCTCTAACAGCAGCACATCTGCTAGAAAACTCACCTGACCTGGGAGATGATCAAATCATAAAGAGAACCACATTTGTGATTCAGGCACCCCTTTGCAGGTACCTCAGAGAATCATGTCTAGAAGCAGTGGGAAACATTTCTCCAGCTGTCCCTCTGCATAGATTCACAGATTCACAATTATATTATACACATCGTTCTATAACTGCATGTATTCACTCAAAATTGAGTAAAAAAATCGATTTCTCGCATCATTATGAAGGGCTGTATTGTATTCTATTGAATAAGTGTACTATGCTTTATTGAATCCATTCTCTAATGATGAATATTCAAATCACTTTCATTTTAATTATTGGAATTTACCAATGCTTTAATAAGTATCCCAGTATAAATGTTTGGAATTGCTGAGTTAAGGGCTATACACAATTTAAAGGCTTTTTGACATAAACTTTTCTTCCAGAAAGTGTATACCAATGTATGGTTTCACCAACTGTCGATTGTAGTGCTAGTTTCCTCCTATCCCTCTAATCCCATTTCCTCATATCCCTCTAATTCTCGATTTTGTCAAGTCATTGGTCAATGTGAGGAGAGAAAAACGGTCTCTTGGCTATTTTCAATTGGTTTTCTTTAATTACTCATGAGCCTAACGAACTTTTCAATGTGATGTGGTGTCCTCTGAGAGAGAAAGCAGCTGCCCAAGTAGGGTTGGAGTGGGCAGGGCAGCTGGAGTGGCCCCTTGGTTGGTGTCAGTAGAAGGTATCTGTCAGGAAAGGAGTAGTTACTGCTTTGGAGACCTGGAAGGTTTGGAGAACTCTGTGATTTAAGCCCTTTAGCCTTCATGGAGATCCTTTTTGTTACCTTCCCAAAGTAGCTGGATGCCTTTCAGGTTCCACAGTTATTGTTACTTTGACCATAGTGTCTGCGTGAATACAGAGCATCGACCTCTAGACTGTATAATCCTCATCTAGTCCCAGAGACAGGATGGCCTAGGGGCAATAAGTAGGTGAAGTGTAAGTAGGGCTTTGAGTCAGTGAGGATTAAAGGGAGTGTTGGGTCCATCAAGTAGGTAGACAAACACTTTTTTTTTTTTTTTTTTTTGAAGCAGACTCTTGATCTGATGCCCAGGCTGGAGTGAAGTAGTACAATTCTAGCTCACTATAACCTTCAACTCCTGGGCTCAAGTGACCCTCCTGCCTCAACCTCCCAAGTAGCTAGCACTACAGGCATGCACCACCACACCTGGCTAATTTAAAGAAATTGTAGAGACAGGGTCTTGCTACGTTGCCCAGGCTGGTCTTGAACTTCTGGTCTCAAGCAATTCTCCTGCCTCAGCTTCCCAAAGTGCTGAGATTACAGGCATGAGCCATTATCCTCAGCTGGAAGAGCATAAATGTTTGAAGGCAGACAGTATAAGGCATAGTGAGGGAATAGTAAGTCTAGACAATTTTCCACATAGGTGAGGAATGGGAGGACGTGTTTGAAAGGTGGGCTGAGATCACACTGTGAACTTTGAGCATATGAAAGTGAGTTTTAGGAGGGGGATCTTTATCTTAATGGCAGTGGGGGCCCTCTGAAATTTTTGGAATTCTGATGTGGTGGGACCTGACAAGTGTCATGTAGTAGGAAATTTAATAGCATTGGAAAGCATTGGAAATGAATGTGGGTAGTACAAAAGGTTTCTATGTGTATCCTGTACTTGGTAAAGGGTAGAACCTTTTCAGTTATGGCTGATTTGTGTTTAGAGGGACATATAATCAGTTGAATGCTTCTAGTACATGATTGTTGTTATTTTCTATTTCTCAGAAAAAGACAACTTAAGAGTAGCTCATTTTTTGGACACACAGATCAGGCTTTTACAATATGTTTAGGTTTTAACAGAATAACAGAAAGTGGAATTGTTTTTTGAACATGTTATGTGGTGTGTGGGTAGATATTTAGTCTTTAGAAATGCAAAATGGGCTGGGCGTGGTAGCTCATGCCTGTAATCCCAGCACTTTGGGATGCTGAGGCGGGTGGATCACTTGAGGTCAGGAGTTCGAAACCAGCCTGGTCAACATGATGAAACCCCGTCTCTACTAAAAATACAAAAATTAGCTGGGCATGGTGGCACGGGCCTGTAATCCCAGCTACTTGGGAGGCTTAAGCAGGAGAATTGTTTGAACCTGGGAGGCAGAGGTTGCAGTGAACTGAGATTGCACCACTGCAATCTAGCCTGGGTGACAGAGTGAGACTCCATCTCACAAAAAAAAAAAAAAAAAAAAAAAAAAAAAATTGCAAAACGAATTCAGAAGATGCATCAAAAACAACCTATAGAATTGCCATGAGATCGTCAGCTTTGCCAAATGACAGCAAACATATAATTTCAAATGGAAAATACACTCATTAAGCCATTTAGACTAGTGAAGTTATATGTGTTATATTTTATATTCCATTTGTATATGGACTCATTTTTCATATTGAAATATTAGCATAAATGAGGAGATCTAAACACTGCCTTCATTTGATTGGGAAATTATCTTAAGTACATGATATAGGATATTTAAAGAGGCTTTAGCATTCATAGCTTGGAATTGGATAGTTTATGGTTATTTTCTTATTTTTGTTGAAATTTAAACTGCACTTTCTGAAATAGCATTTATTATACTTTCAGATATCATCTGTCTTGACTAGGAAGTCAGTCACTGAATGAGTAATTTTGTTTCTGGTATTACTGCCTGACAAACTGATTTTCAGAGATGGTCATAAAAGCAGCATTAATGATCATTTTTAGAGATAGAATGACAAATATCTTGATAAATCATGCCTTGTGCTTAACTTATTTATGAATAGTTTCTGCTGTGGATCTTTTTGGTGCTCTTAAAATGCAGTTAAATTTGTAGTTCAAGAATTGAATTTTTATTCTTCCAGTAATTGCAGCCAAGGGCTGCACTCTCTTTCAGCCTAGATAAGCCACAGTGACATTCCTAGGCCAAAAGAAGGATGCTTGTTGAAAGCTGGTGGGCAGTGAAAAGGACAGGCAGTGTATAGCTTCCCTTTCAAATGCAGAAACAGGGCTTCTCCAAGGTGGAGTGTTGATAAATTATGGGATATTCCAAAAGTCCTTAGTCCACACTTTCTGCTCTAGCAAAGGTAATTTTTGCTATTTATTTTGACCTAAGTACCTTTATAAAGATTTTGTTTTTTCCTCTGGAGGAAGGTAACTAATATTTATTGAGCACTCACCATGTGCCAAGCATCTTAGGAAATGCTTTAAATGCAGTCTCATTTAATTCCTACTATTACCTTGTGATGAAAGCATTATTATACTAATTTTGAGGATGAAAACATTAAGCCTCAGCCAAGTAATTTGCTTAAGTTTATATAGCGAGGGCTGACTTGTTTTTTTTCTTTCACCAACCCAAAGTCTATACTTTTTCTAGTGCCTGCTTAAGACTCAGTATGTTAAAACTTTAAAAATATTTATTGAGAGTTTCAGTATGTTCCAGGTATATAACTTAGATATATTTATTTTCATTTTAAAGATGAAGAAATGGAGAGGTTCAGATTAATACTTTTTTCAGCATTACACAGAGCCAGGATTCAAACTTAGGTCTATCTGACTCCAAAGCCTATGCTCTTACCTACCACATTGACTTGTAAGACTTTTTCTTAAAGGGTTATATTTTAAAATTATTATTAATATTTACAATTATTTTCTATTTAATTCTTTTCTTAAGTACATAAATGCCATAAGTGCTACCCCCTTTTCATGCAAATATAGTGAGTTAATGTGGAGGATCTACTACTAAATGCCTTTAGGATTCTGCTAAACGCTTCGAATACGTTAGGGTTTCTCAACCCCAGTGCAATTGATACTTTGGGCCAGATGATTCCCTGTTTGGGAGACAGCCTGTCTCGTGCATTGCAGGGTGTTTAACAGCATCCCTGGCCTCTACCAACTAGATGCAAACAACACTCTCTTTTCCCCCTACCCAGTTGTGACAACCAAAAATGCTTCAGACATTATCAAATATCTTTTGTCAGAGAGGAAATCACCTGAAGTTGAAAACTAATGGTCTACATTATCTCATCTTATCCTTAGAACACCCCATGAGGCTCATATCATTATGATCTCAGCTTTACACAATAAGAATAACTTGCTCAGGGTCATATGCTGAGAAATAGTATCTTCAGGGCTCAAATTGAAGGCTTACCTATGACTTTGGACTAATTTTTGTTGTATTTCATGGACTACGTCTTGTCTTCAAACTTAACTTGAGCATCCTCAAGGCTTGGCTATGTCAGATTCTCCTTTTTCTTTTGCCCCAAGGGCACCTAGAAAAGTACTTAATACCCAGCTGTGCTTTGACAGATGTTCATTAAGCAAATGACCCATTTTATGTGGGTCATATTTAAATAAGCATATTTTAAATAAAATAGAGCTGAGTGCAGTAATTAAGAATCAGACACATCACAGGTTTACATCTCATTCCTGCCATTTATTAGTTATAGGATCATGGAAAAATTTTTGACCTATTTGATTTCCTCATTTGTTTGTGACTAATAATCCCTCCTGTGGATAATGTGAGGAGTGAGTTAACATATAAAGTCATCTAGCATAGTACAAGACACAAGGTTACAAAGTTAAGTACATGATAGCTACTAGTAATACAAATAATATTAATATTAATGATAGTAAGGTGGCTTGGATTTTCTCTTTATATTATGACATAATTTACATATACTTTTATTTCAATAAATTTAGAAAAAAATTTCTTGTCTGCCTAAGACAACTTGAAAGCTGCTGTTTCATTAACGTTAAATAAAAATTACATGAAATATAAAATATACAGAAGGTAAATGAGGAAATTAGGGGGAAAAAGTAAAGCCAAACAAACAAACCAAAAAAAACCCCAGGACCATTAAAAGACAAAATTAACATATTGTAGTACTGAGGTTTCAGTGAGGAATTAAGCTTAGTTCCTTTCATTTCACTAAAGAAGTTTTAACCCTTGTGGTGGCTCAAGGGCTAGGGCTTCTTTTGGCTTTGAGAGCAGATGAATTGACTCATCCCTGACCTCAGCCCTCAGCCTTCTGCTGATTTGGCATCTCTAGCTTCCTTCCCCGAGGTCTGACCTTTTGCCTCATTTCCTCTGACTCAATTTTGGGTTCTGTTCTTGGCTTTCAGTTTCTGCTCTGAGAGTTCCTTTTCTAAATTTCTGGGTCCTCTTGTAGGTTAGTTACTCACTTGTTTCAGTTTCTCTGCTGGTCTCCTTCTTAGGGTATGGCCCTCCATGCTCTGCCACACCTGGGTTGCATCAGCTGCTCAAAGGCAGCATTTCTCACCTGCTGCTGCTCTCCCTGATCCAGGGCCAACTTGGACAAATCCCTTCCAAATGTAATTGGCCATAATCATGTAGGTTTTAACTATAGGTTGGTGGCATTAAATTTCCAAGACAGTAAAATGTCAGGGTGGAAATTCATTGTTTTTAGATACTGGAGGGACTTTCTGTGTTTTAAATGCCTCTCAATTATTTTTTTCATCCATTGGCACACTTTGGAATGTTAATATTTGTAGTAAATACTGAACTACATAGATAATGCTGTTTGTGGTTCTAGGAATTACATGCCTATCCTAGGGACTGAGGGGACGACTGTCTCAGCCTCCTATATGATATTATGTATAGAAATGCACTGGTTGAGAAGCTCTATTCTAAAGTCTCCATGAAAACACAAATAGATAGCACTGGGCAGGGGTTGGGAGAGAGTATAACACCTTAAACAATTATTCTCTAGCTTCTTTATTTCTATTTGCCTGTCAACTGCTTTCTAAGGGTCCTAGACAGCCCTGGAAAAGTTGCCCCAGGAATACAAAACCTTAAGAATGAAGATAAGGACACTAAAGTTTCTGTAGGGGCTGGAGAGGGAATACCTAAATCTATTCTAAGACATGTTGGGAGATACTAAAACTGGAACGAGATTGGGAACAGGCAGAGAGTTAGGAGGCTACCGAGGGAGTTCAGGAATGAGGTATTGAGGGTTTGGTTTATTAGCTGCTCACCTGTAGAGGAGTGAGTCACTTATTTAAATTCATACAGAAAATATGTAAGCATATATGGTGGGTTGGTTGTTAATACTTTGTCAAATGCATGCCACTTAACTAATCGTGGGAGGTCACTATAATTACCATTTAGATGTGAGAGGTATACGGAGGGAGAAAGAAGTCAACAGTAATATGCAAGTTACTATTTTAATTAATTGGGGGAATTGAATTGCCATTCACTAAAGAAAGACTAAGAAAAAGATACAGTTTTGCTGGGGGAAATGGCATGTTGAGTTTTGAACGTGCAAGTTTGAGATATTTTTGCCATATAAAATAATACCTATCTGAAAAGTATTTGGAAGGTGGTCTGGAACTCTCAGGAAAAAGCCAGATCAGAGTAAACAGATTTTAGAAGTGAACAATATAGAGATCTATACATTTTCATTGTGGGCCCTGGAAATCATATTCAAAATAGTATGAAAAATGTGTGCCAGTGTAGTTTTTCTGAGGAGGGGGTCCTCTATAGTTTCAAAGAATCACTGCTACAGATAGATGAGATAGGTAAATTAAGACCTTAATGGCAAATGGGTAGAAATTATGATTTTTAAAGTAAAAGAGGAAAATGAATCAAGGATAACTTCAGGGTATTTTTTTCTTTGGCAGCAGTGCAAGAGTAGGAGAAGAAATTGGTTTGTGAAGCTATGGGGTTAGAAATACTGAATTTGAATTAGAATGTAGCTTTGAAAAATAATGTGTCCAATAGGCAGTAGGCACTGCGGCAAAAAAAAAAAAAAAAAAAACAACAGTTGAGAGATCTGGAATATAGATTTGTTTGTCTTCAGTGTTATGCTGATAATAGAAGCCCTGAGTGTATGTGAGCTTTAAGCCAATTATTAGACTAAAAAGAGAACAGTGAAGAAGTCCAAGTTTTGAGCTTTGGGTATTACCCAGAGTCGAGAGCCAGGTGAACAGAAGGGCTGGGGCACTCTGGGCACTTGACAGAAAATTCAGTCGTGAATTGACTACAGCACATTGCTTGCCAAAGCCTTGCCCGAGGCAGCTGCTGGTTGATGGAAACAGCTCAGGGTGTGTGTCAGCACTCTTCCTCTAGCTGGCTGGACTGGTAGTCTTCAAATCCTTTTGCTCCCTCATCCTTATAACAATATTTAAGTCACATCATCTTATTATATGTACATATGTTTAGATGCTGTAGAGAATATGTGAAAACAGAAATTTATGAAGATGAAATACATTGATAAAAGATGAATGTAATATATATATTCTTATAACCAATGGATTATTTTGTGCACCTTCTGTAATGCTTTTTTTTAAAAGAAACTTTATTGAGATACTGCTTAAGTACAATAAGTTAAACTCATTTAAAAGGCTACAATTTAGTGACTATTGACAAATGTGTTCAATTATGAAAACACCACAATCAAGATATTTCCATTACTCTCGAAAGTTTCCTGGTGCCTCCTTGCTGTCCATTCCTCTCTCTAACCCATCCTTTGGCAAACACTGATCTGCTTTCTTTCACTGTGAATTAGTTTTAGTTGTTATAATTTTATATAAATAGAATCATATAGTATCTGCTTTTTTTTGTTTCTGTCACTCAAAGGATGCTTTTTTTCTTATTGCTGTATGGGATATAGCAAAATGTCTTTATACATTTACCTGTTGATTGTCATTTAGGTTGTTCCCAGGTGTAAACTATTACAAAAATACCAGCTACAAATTTTTTTTTGTATAAGTTTTTGCATGGATATATGTTTTTATTTGTCTTGAGTAAATACCTAGTTATGGAAAAGCTTGATTTTTCTAGGTAATTAGAAAGTGCTTGGCTATGCAAAAATTATTGCATTTCCCAGCAAAAGTGTGTTCATTAATTCTTCATTCAACACACATTTTATTTATTTATTTATTTATTTATTTATTTATTTATTTATTTATTATTATTATACTTTAAGTTTTACGGTACACGTGCACAATGTGCAGGTTAGTTACATATGTATACATGTGCCATGCTGGTGCGCTGCACCCACTAACTCGTCATCTAGCATTAGGTAATCTCCCAGTGCCATCCCTCCCCCCTCCCCCCCACCCTCAACACACATTTTTAAGCAAGCATAACTTGTGCTTTAAGAGCCAACATAAATATTACATCTCTGCTTTTGAAGAAATTTAATTTAAGATATATAAATTTGGAAGCCATATAGATGATTAAGTTGGTGTTTCAAGTCACGAGACAACACAATTATTTATCAAATGGTAGTTCAGTTTGGGAATAGAAATTGAGTACTGTTGGCTCTGTAAGTGAGAAAAAATACAACCAAAATTAAAAATTAAACTGAGAATAAATGCAACATGGTATCCTGGATTGGATGCTGGAATGGTAAAAGGACCTTAGTGGAAAAATGGCTGAAGTGTGTATGGAAACTCTGTACTATCTTTACAACTTTTCTGTAAATTTAAAATGATTTGAAAATAAAAAAGTTTATTTTTAAAAAAAGGTTCATTGAGAAACCAATTGTAAAATTAGGAGTTTCTGTTCAATAAAATTTGTCCTGAAGCTAAAAAAATTTAAACTGAACTAAACATTTGATCATATATGACAAAGATACATTCTTATTAAATAAAATGCACTTATCAGTCAATAATAACAATCCTACTCTCTTCAAAGAATATTGGACAAAGTATATAAAAGCAATCAGTAAAAGGATTCATACATATTGCTATATAAGGAAGGAACCATATTCACCTGCCTCAAGTTTTTACATAAAAGGACTTCAGCTACAGTACCTTGTTCCGTTTCCTCATTTCTGACTCCATCCTAAGCTAACTGATCTTAATAATTGGTGAGAAAAAAATAACAACTGCTTGGCTCGGCTCTTTCTCAATTTTCTCTTTTCCTATAGATGCACCTCAGCTGCTTGTGTTTCAGTTTTAGAAGAATCTTGGAAGGTCCAAGTGTTATCAAAAGTCAAGTATTCTTTTCTGATCAGCCTAAACATTAAGAAAGCTATTTTTTAAAATCAGTGTGATTCCTGTTTCTGTTTTTAGTGATTATTAATGCAGTGTGTGTGTGTGTGTGTGTGTGTGTGTGTGTGTGTATGAGAGAGAGAGAGATAGAGAGATTTGGTTTTGGGGTGGGGTGGTGAGTACAATTAATTATCTCAACCCTTGACAGCTAATAAACGCTTGAAGATATATTAATTCTCCATAGTAACCAAATAAGTGCAACTTAAAGCAAGGTTGCTGCTACCGAATTGATAATTCATAAAAGGTTTCAGAAGGAAAAATAGCCAGTTTTGAAGAATTTTTAGTGAAAGGACCTTTAAACTGTGAGTAGAAATATAAATTGGTACAATTTTCCCCAAAGGCAAATTGGCAATTTGTATCAATAACCATAAAATGGTTCATACTCAATTTTGATTTTATGATAAAATCTATGGAAGCAATCACAGATTTCATCACAAAGATTTATAAACAAGGATGTTAGTCAAGCACTATTTATAATGGACAAAGAAAGCAAAACAGCCTTATTATCTAATATGGGGATATTATGCTACTTACTATTAAAGCCATGAAAATCATTTTTTGAAGAGTATTTGTTGATTTGGGAAAATTAATATGATACAGTATAAATTAGATAAAAACAAGATACAATACTATATGTGTGTTTTAATTCGAATTTTGTAAGCAGCTTCTATGTAATAAGTTTTGTAAAAAGCATTTTTATAAAATTATAATTTTGAAAAATAATTTTGTAACAAAGCCAACACAAATACATTCATAAACATATTTGTAAAAAAGTATTATTAAGTGAGATGATTCTTGTGCTCCAGACTTGTAGCTGAGGTTCAAAACTGTGAACAAAGTTTACTATGTACTGCACAGAAATGGTAATTTTTGGGGGTGCACAATGTTTGTGAGGAGTGGGCCCAATTAAAAGGGTGTCCTCATGATGCCTGCCTGCCACACAGGAGGCATCTAAAGCCAGTGTGAAATTGTTAAGCAGAGAACCAAGAGCCAGGAAAATAATCATAAGAGGGTGACAATCTCTCCCAGTTAAGTTAGGAGAGATTTATTCGTTTTCTCTTCCCTGTCTTTGGTGGAGTTAGCCTTTAAGAGAAAAGAGGCAGTATGTAAGGGTGCTGCTTCTTGCATTCAGAACCTTGTTGACAGGGAACCCAAGTGTAGCTTTCATTGGTGGCAGGGTAATGGAAGAGCTTTAAATTTAAGGTTGAAGATTGAAATTTGAAAATGAAAGGACTGAGCCTTAAGTATCAAAGCAAGACTCTTCTGTAACTCTAAATTTACATGTACATGTCAGTACATACATGGCTTGCTGATGGGGTCCCAACTCACTGCTGTGTACACATGAAGTGGTTTTTATTTATTTATTTTTACTGTCGCAGGTCAAACTCTAGTCCCTCCCTTTATTATTGCAACTCTTATTGATGTGTTGACCAGACTCTATATCTAAATTCGTTGTTTGGTTTTTATAGGATTGTGTATGTATTTTGTACATCATGAATGAATGAAAAGAGCTAGAAGCATACGCCCTAAAAATTGAAGATTAATTAATGATCTTTTAGTCATAGATTTATCCATTTTGTTTGCATCTTTAGACTTCCTTGTATTTTCAAAAACAATTATGTATAATAATTTATAATCTCACAAAAATATATATTTCAAAAATGTCTTCTGTAAAATTATAATTGAAGATGATATTCATTGTGTTACTTGATTTACATATTTTACAAGGACACACACATTATTTTTATTCTTAAAAAATTAACACCTCAGGAAAATGTTTCTTCAGATAAACTTGTAAAATTTCTTTTATCAGATACAAATATAGGGCCTCTTCTGCTCTAGTTGTCAAAAAAAAAGCTAAATTCATTGCTCAGCTGTCACTGTTATTGATTTTGCCCTCATCATGTCTAATTTAGAATCCTTCAGCAGCCTTCTAATTATTCCCTGCTCTAACCTCTTCCACCCTCAACAATGCCTTCCAAGGGATATTTCTAGCCTGCAAATCTAGCTATAGTTATTTCCACACTTAAAATTCTTCAGCCACTTTCTATGTCACAAAACCAAACTATGGGCCTGGCACTCTAAGCTTTTCCTGCTCAGGACTCTGCCTAAATGTCTTTTCTTGTGTATTGTTCTTTTCCTGTTTGCATTCTATTCTTCAACCTTATTAAATTACTTGTAATTTTCCTAGAGAGCTGTGATCTTTTCATGCTTTTGCTCTATTTCTTGTGTTCTTTTCTCTTCCATCCTCCTTCTTCCTATTGTCCCTGTCTCTGGAGAAAATTTTTTCTTTTCCTTTAATGGGCTCCCTTTTACCTGGCAGAGTAATCTATTCCTTTCTTGTGTTCCCAGCGTCACATGTACAGAACTGTAATTCTTCATTTTCTTGTGTGTGTCTTCTGTATAAATATTAGGAGATTCTCAAAGGCCAGAACCACGCCTTTCTCAATTAGCTAAGGGCTTATTATACAATGAATGTTTAATACATACATATATATATATGCATACATATATATTCACACACACACACATATATATATATATATATAAAATAACAAAAATCTTCAAATACATTGCCTTTTAAAATCCATGCAACAAACTCAGGAGGCAGATGTTATTATACAGGTAAAGAAATGGAAGCTTAGAGATATTATATTTATTGCGTTGTTATTTGCTTAATACCTGTCTCTTCCACTGGACCATAAGCTCAACAAAGTCAGGGATAGTATTAGTCAAGGATAAGCTAGCATAGGTTGCAATAATAAAACACCCCCAAATTTCAGTGGCTTCTTAAAAACCCCAACATAGTTTGTTTCTCACTCATACTGCATGCCCATTGTGAGTGTGGTGCTCTTCTGCCACACTTAGATTTTACTCTGGGATCAGTCTAACAAAACAGCTGCTACCTTGAACATTGCCAATTGCCATAGCAGAAGGAGAAGGGATGTGGAACCACACAAGGGCTTTTGAACTTCTGCCCATGTTTCATTGGCCAAAGCAAGCCACATGACCTGTCCTAAATACAACAGGATGGGTATATATAATCCACCTAGAGGGATGGCACCACAGAGAAAAATGAAATATATGGCAGACAAAATAATCTATCATAGATAACCCAACTGTTTTGTCCACGATTACATATCCAATACCCTATGCCTGATTCATTGTAGGTCTCAGTATATGGTGATTGCATGATTGAATGTCAGAAGGCTTGTAGGAGTGCCGGAACTGTTATTTGATTAGTCTAACTCCAGAGACCAGTCTGAATGACTTTGCTATTTATATAACTTGGTCTCAGATATTTACGAATATCCATTCTCTGCTTATTCTCTTGTTTGTTTTTGTTTTGTTTTTTTTTTTTTTTGAGACAGAGTCTCGCTCTGTCGCCCAGGCTGGAGTACAGTGGCGCGATCTCGGCTCACTGCAAGCTCCGCCTCCCGGGTTCACGCTATTCTCCTGCCTTAGCCTTGAGTAGCTGGGACTATAGGCGCCCGCCACCGCGGCGGGCTATTTTTTTGTATTTTTAGCAGAGACGGGGTTTCACCGTGTTAGCCAGGATGGTCTCGATCTCCTGACCTCATGATCCGCCTGCCTCGGCCTCCCAAAGTGCTGAGTCACCGCGCCTGGCATATTCTCTTGTTTTTGCTTTGTTTATAATTGTTCTGTAAAGGGCATGAAATTAGTTGCTGTGACTGTAAAAGAATTACAGAAGGAATGACCGCAGAGGTAGAAGGATTCCACCAATGTATAGCTCCAGAGAAATCATGTTACGAATTCACAAGGAAAAGAATAAGAGACAGTATCAACAGAGCAAGAGATTGATTAGACAAAAAGACTACGATTTGGTTGGAAAAGGTCTTTGCTGTCAGATATTTCAGGGGAGTTATGGGGGCAACTAAGTGAAGGTTTTCAGATTTAATCAAACTAAAAGATAGAAGTAATAGCAACAGTATATATCTTTCAGAGCATTCTGAGACTGAAATTGGGAATGGAGGTGTGGTTGAGATCCCATATTGAAGGAATACAGAGATTTTCTCTTTGCAATTGAAATATTCAAGTGGGCTCATTCTCCATTTTCTTAGAAATAGAGAAGGAAAGAACTTTAAAAATTGAAGAATGGATTTTATCTCTGAATAACCACATTAATCTCATTGAATGACAAATCAATCTGAACAATTCACTATGGAAAAAAGAACTTCAAATATTGTAGGTTAGATAGGCACTTTTTGCAATTCTAATAATCTTGTTTTATGGTTAAAATAAAATATGAAATTATAAAGATTAATTGAAGTATTGCTTTCTCACTAATGAGATTAGATTGTCTGTGGTCAGAAATGTGTGTTAGTACAAGAGATTTAGTAGGGGTGAGATGAATTTCCTGAAGAGGAATTCTAGAGGCAGAGTAAGAGCATATGTTTTAAGTAAGATGTATCTTAGCCCTTTAAAAAATTACTTTACCACCTTAAATTTAGGTTTTAATTCAGTCTGTAGTCCTTAATAGCAGTGAGTCAATGGGAAAATTAATCCCTTGGGTTCTTCCTTTCTTCATCTACAAAGTAGAGATATGGTATTTACATTGACATTTTATTTAATAAATAATAATGCATGGAAGTATTGACAATCAATGGTAGCTCCAAAGATAGACAATTAGAAATAATTACAGAAATAATTACTCAGCCATCCACTTTCACTCCTAGGAAAGAGCAGGAAAAGTGAGATTAGATGGACAGAATTTGATCAACTCTGGTTTACTTTTTGACACATTGAAATCTCTGTAAGGTAAGTCAGGCTTAACAGTGCTGCATGGTGGGCCCCAGCCCAGGAAATTATTTTTCCTTAGAGCCTCAGAATTCATTTAGCTACTTGGAATTTTAATAAAGAATTTTACCAACCCTGGCCATAATTTACAAACTCTGTGGCTTGCCTGAATCCACTGAGGAGAGATGAGTACATTGCATGAGACAGGGCACTCTGTCTCTAATGATGACTCCAGCTGACCACAGCTTGGTCAGGCACAGTGGAATGCAGCTTATTCTGCCCCTAGAAAGGTTAAAGTGGTTGCGTCATTTATAAACTGTCAGTCTTTTTTATTCTTGCTTAAGGTTGCAGGAGAGTAATTGCCATAGCAACAGTTATCCCTTCCAATGCTGTTAAGTACAAGGGTGCCCCTTGGTAGAATGATTGGAGATTCAGGAAGTTCTAATCCTGTTATGATTTATTCAATATTTCTTTGATTTTGAAACTATTTAACAAGTTCTTTGCACATTTTCCTGGAAAGTAGCATAGATTCTGTATAATAGCTCTTAGGGCTAGAAGCTGTCTCCTAAAGAAGTCTACTTTCTCCAGTCCTGGTCTTCCTACATATAGAAGTTCTCTATTTCATGAAAACTAAAAAAAACCTGCTTTATCCAGTTACTTGTGTCTTAAATCTATTTTGTCTATACTTCTCCCTAATCTACTTCTCTTTCTGACTTCTCATTTTAGATAATGGTACTAACTTCTCTTTCTACAAACAGAAACTCAGAATTGAGTGTCATTTTATACTCATTCTGCAATCTAAAATTGATCTGCCAATTTTGCCTATTTAGTGCAGTTGTTCTCATTCCTGGCATGCATAAGAATCAACTGTAGAGTCTTTAAAAAATGTCACCCTTAAAACTTATCCCTGGATATGCTGGGATATGAATGTCCATCTTTTGTATTGTGAAAATTTCAGAGATATTGAAAAGTACAATATAAAATAGAAAAATAAGGTATAAATATAGCAAAACAACTGTTTAGCTCCAACTTAGCTCAGAAAAACAGAACGTTACCAACATAGCTGATGCATCCTATGTATTGCTGGTCTAGCATTTCCTTCTTCCTCCCTTCAAGGGTAATTTCTACTCTCAATATTGTATTTATTTTTCCCTTAGATTTCCTTATAGGTATGTGTCTTCCTGAGCAGTAGCTGGTTAAATTTTGTTTGATTTTTATGTAAATGCCATACTGTGTGTAATCTATGACCTGCCTTTTTTATTCTCTATTATAGTTTTAATATTTATTCATGCTGATGCCTGCACCTGTGGCCCACTTATTTAGTGTAGTACTCCACTAATGACTATAGCTCAATTAATTAATCTTCTCTCCCGTGAATGGATATTAAGATTGTTTTCGGTGATTTTTTTTGGCCAGGTGCACATCTTTAGTGCATATATCTAGGAGTGAAATTGCTGTCTTAAACTTTACATTTACATTTTCAACTTTGCAAAATGATGCCTTTTTTTCCCCAAAGTGGTTGTATCAATTTACTCCAACAGTCATGTATGAGAATTTGTGGTGCTTCATATCTCTGTCTTTACTTGTTACTGCCTGCTATGGTTTGAATGTATGTGTCCCTCCAAAATTTGCATGTTAGAACTTAAACCCCAAACGTGGCAGTACTAAGAGGTGAGACTTTCTGGAGGTAATTTGGTCATGAGGGCTCTGCCGTCATGAATGAGATTAATGCCTTATAAAAGGGCTGGAGGGACCTAGCTAGGTCCTTTTTCCCTTCCGCTGCTTCTACCACATGAGGACACAGCATTTGACCCTTCTGGAGGACATGGCAAGCAACAGGTACTATCTTGGAAACAGAGAGATCCAACCCTCACCAGACACTGAACCTGCCAGTGTCTTGATCTTGGACTTCCCAATCTCCAAAACTGTGAGAAATTAATTTCTATTATTGATAATTTGCTCAGTCTGTGATATTTTGTTATAGCAGCAGAAACATACTAAGACACTGCTCAAGATTTTTTTTCCAATTTTATACTAGACGTTGTAAAGTGGTATCGCATACTGATTTTAATTTCCATTTTCCTGATAATTAATGAGGCTGAGCTTCTTTTCTTATTTATATCTGCCATTCTTGCTTCCTCTTCTGAAAAATTCTTATTCTTCTCTCCTGTTGTTCATCTGCATTTTAAAAAATTCTGGACAGGCTGGGCACAGTGGCTCGTGCCTATAGTCCCAGCACTTTGGGAGGCCGAGGCGGATGGATCGCAAGGTCAGGAGTTCGAGACCAGCCTGGCCAACATGGTGAAACCCCGTCTCTACTAAAAATACAAAAATTTGCTGGGTGTGGTGGTGTGTGTCTGTAATCCCAGCTACTCAGGAGGCTGAGGCATGAGAATTGCTTGAACCCAGGAGGCAGAAGTTGCAGTGAGCCAAGATCGCACCATTGTACTACAGCCTGGCCGACAGAGTGAGACTCCATCTCTAAAAAAAAAAAAAAAAAAAAAAAAAAATTCTGGAGAGGTAATTCTGAAGAGCAGCCAAGGTTGAGAGTGACTGTCTTTATGTCTTACTTCTGTCCCTTCCTTATTGTTTCCACTGCGCCTGCACTGGTTCAGGCCCTTGCCATGTTATAACGTCTCATCTGTTTGCAGTACTCTTTTTACTGGTCTCTGAGCATCCAGTCTCCCCACTATCAATTCATCTGACCATTTTCTTCTCCCTGGACCCTAGTTCTGACTGATCATCTAACTCCCTTGTTCAGAATATTGGTGACTTCCACTTGCCTGCAAGTAACATCTGAACGTCTTATATGCCTCTTTGATGAATACCTACCTACATCTCTAATGTTGCTTCCCTCTAGTTTCATCATCTACACTTTCTTTCTGCAGATTCTAATATCTTGTTATGTCAATATGAACACTATAGTTTCTTCCTTCCATGCCTGGCCACCCATGAGCTCCACTGCTTATCTGCTATGTACCCCTTAAAAATGAAAGCAATCATCCATTCTCTGTCTTCTAAACTATTGCAACATGTAATTGTTTATATTTCCCTTGTTCTCTTGACCACTTTCTACCTGGTGTTATAGTTGTCTTTGCCAGGTAGCAAATCCAGGAAGTTATAATCCTTCATTCTCACCCCCCATCTCAGTGCATTTTATATACTAGGGGATAGCAATTGTTTTGTGAATGAATAAAATCATGCAATGGAAATAGAACCCAAGTCTCAGGATTGTCTTTTTTTATTTTTATTTTTTGTAAAATCAATCAATTCCTCAAGGTCAATAACTGAGTCTTCTCAGGCTGGTGTGTTCTTTTTCCTAGGGTATCTTTCACATACTTAGTGTGAAGATAAAAGGAGACCATTGGCTTCATTGTTTAAGCAAACATATTTAATATTGCACAATCAACTAACTGTACCCTTAAGACCATAGATACATTAAAAAAATTCTTAGTGATGAAAAACAGTAATATTTTAGTGTGAGTATGCTTAAAGAAAATAGTTTAAATATTTTAGGAATTAAATCTGGTGAATAAAATGAACTAGGCAATACTACTTTTCATAAAAAATATTGACAGTGCTCTGTATGCAAAAATATTAGAGGATTGATTATGTGGAAATATAAAGGAATAAGACTGAATTTCTTATGTGACTTATAAATTACCCCTAAAGTAATTTATATATGAATACTTCACCTACATATATATATACACATATATATTTATATATATACAAATATATACATACATATATATATATACACACAATTCATAAACCAATAAATTCTCTGATGTGCATATTTGACAACCATTGCTGGCATTTTACAATTTCATTTACAGCAAGCCCTTCTTGGTAGTTTCTTTGTGTGATTGATGCTGAATACAGCTTTGTTGCTGCCTCCTCAGGTCTGAGTTGGTGTGCAGGCAATAAGGAGGTCCAGCTTTCTGAAGCCCAGTTGAATCAGGCTCTCTAGTGATGCTACAGATCATCAGAATGGTTCATTTGGGTGATAACAAAGTTACATTAAACACAATCTATCTCTCATAATGATGGCAGAAGAATGTGGGTGTTTTCTTTCATGAAATCCCCCAGTACCATTTGGATCAGTAGCAGACATGATTAACTGGTGACCCCAAAGCATTTCTTATTCCTTACCTCTTTTATCTCTTTTCCCCTTCCATTAGAATTTGAAAAGCCAGATACATACATGTGACCCTGTTCTGGCCAAAGAAACTTAAGTTTCTGAGAAAGATAATTTGCTTCCCAAGGAAAGGGGTGTATGAAGAGAGGTCATTGACATTGCTCTTCCCCACCTCCCCTTTTTCAATTGTGGACATTGTTGTGATGATATTATACCTGGAACTGTAGTGGTCAGTCTATAACTACAAGGGCAAAACCCTAAAACAATGAGGTGGTGGAACACAAGGATGGAAAGAGACTGGTTCATGATGACCCTGTTTAGCAAAGGAATGAACCCTGGAAATACTTTCCTCCATACATATGCATAAGTAAACAATAAATGCTTTTTTGTTTGCTGCTCATGGATTTTCTATTACTTGAAGCTAGATACATCCTAATCGATAGAATCACATGTTGAAAGAGTCTACTATCCATAATTATCTCAATAATCTGTTTGAAAACATCTATTGGGGCCAGGTGCAGTGGCTCACACCTGTAATCCCAGCATTTTGGGAGGCTGAGGCAAGCAGTTCGCTTGAGCTCTGAAGTTCAAGACCAGCCTAGGCAACATGGACAAACCCCATCTCTAAAAAAAAATTAAAAACAAAATTACCTATCTATCTATCTATCTATCTATCTATCTATCTATCTATCTATCTATCTATCTCAACATTCTCTTGGTGAGTTTTCTGTTATCTGTCCTGAAATGAGCTTCAAGAATCTCCTTTAGTTTTCCTTTCCTGAGATTTTTTTTTTCTTTAAAAACAACTTCTTACTCATCTTCCTTATATGCTACATCCTTCTGGTACTGGCTGTGAATACTTTTACAGTGATGGTTTTATCATCTTTATGGCAATCTGACTCATATTTAAATTTCATCATATTTTGCATCTGGACTAACATAAGATATTCTGTATTCAACGACATGGAAGACTTGCCTGATTTACTGAGAAATTGCTAATTTTGTCCCTTTAGGGAGTTTTAACAAACTCTTCACCTACAGGATAGTTTTCCTTTCCAAAGTTCACATTTCATAGGAATTCATGAAACTTATTGGAAAAGCTGGCTTATGGGAACTAGGTGTATCCATAAATCCTCTTGATACTTCTTGCAAAATAATATTAGTAGTCTAAGTTGTTATTTTTCTGTCCCTGCCTCCTAAGTTACTGATCATTGGACTTAAAGCATAGATATTTAATAAATATGGGACTTTTTATTCTAGGGAAGAAGTTGCATATAAGCTGCTAATATTCAGGTAGAATTTTTTAAAAATTTGCTGAGGCTGAGTGTGGCCTAGCATGGTAGTGAAGTCCCTGGGACCATAATATTTAATAATAGAGGGCTTCATATATTTTACAGACTTTTTCCTCCTGAGGTCCCACCAGGTACTCAGAGTTACTTTGAGGGAAGATTAGAATGAATCCTAAGAAAACTGCCCTTGTTCTCTATAGTGCTAGCTGGGGGAAGGAATAGTAGCCACTCTGAGATTGCCCACACCTACCTCCCTAATCTTCATATGGACAAATGCCTTAATCTGCAGGAGGAAGAGTAACTAAAATTGTAGCCTGAGAGAACTGGTGCAAATCCACTGCGTCTTGGGGAAAAAAACAGGAAAAATAAAAATGTTCTACTCTGGGAAGGGGCAGGAATGTAGGTTTTGTCCAGCAATACTTCCGGAGGAGAAGGAACACTTAGGAAAATTACACCCCCTATTGTGACCCAGGTTCACAATGCCTGATTAAGAATGAAGCTGAATCAGAATATTAGATGCTTTCCACACTCTTTAGCCCTACCCCACCATGTACATCAAATAAAAATAATTGTGACATACAACTGGGAAAGCTCCAACAAGGAGTTTCTCTTTTGAGAGAGGTGCAAAGGGATAGCCCAAAGCAAAGAAGGAAGGCTTCTGAAAAATTACTGCATACATTAAGCACAGGGTATCACTAGAGAAATTTGAATTCTGAAATTCACTGCGTGTAATCATAGCAACTGCAAACATCAAAAACAGCCCAACACCTGATTAGATTAACACAACCCCCTTCCCTACGCTAAACATTTAGCAGAACAAAAGGCTCACTCATCGTCAAGCATTAAAAAACATTTACTTCCATATCTACTGTCAAATTTTTTGTTGAAAGCTGGCTTTCAACAAAAAATTACAAGGAATACAAAAATGCAAAAAAAAGTCATTTGAAAAGACACAAATCAGAGCCCGTCTCAGATATGACATAGATATTGGAACTATCAGAAAGGAAATTTAAAATAACTGATTAGCATGTTAAAAACTCTATTGGAAAAGTTAGACAACATGTAATGGCAGATAGATAATTTTAGCTGAGAAATGAAAACTGTAAGAAGCAAAGGAAAATGCTATTAAAAAAACCCCACAGTAACAAAAATAAAGAATACCTTCAACTGACTCACTAGTGGACTTACATAGTTGGGGAAAGAATCACTGAATTTGGAGGTAGGTGAATGGAAATTTCCCAAAATAAAACTCAAAGAGAAAATAGATTTGAGAAAACCGAAGAAGATCAGAGCATCCAAGAGCTGAGACATTATCAAACAGCCTATTCTACATCTAACTGGAATCCTAGGAGGAGAAAAAAGAGAAAACTAGTCAGAAAAAAATATTTGAAGAAATAATGGCTGAGAATTTCCCAAAATTTGGTAAAACGACACCAAATTATAGATCCAAAAGCTGGAAGAACATCAAGCAAGATAAATGCCAAAACCTCACACTTCAACATATAATGTTTTTAAAAGTTGAAAACCAAATACAAAGGGAAAGTATTGAAAGCAGGCAAAGGAAAAAAGTCATATTATCTGCAGAAGAATAAGAATTATAGCAGGCTCCTCATCAGAAAACATGCAAGCCAGAAGACACTGAAGTGACGTATTTAAAGTGCAAAGAAAAAAATTGTCAAGCCAGAATTCTATATTTTTCCTAAGTGGAAAGAAAATTAAACGCCTTCTCAGAAAAATAAAAACTGAGAGAATTAATGGCTATCAAATCGAATCTAGGAGGAATGTAAAGGAATCTCTTCAAGTCAGAAGGAATGTCATATAGATCAAAAAATGGATCTACACAACGAAATGAGGAACATCAGTAATGGAATAAGTAAAAGTATAATAAAATATTTTCATTGTTATTATTATTATAATTCTGAAACAGAGTCTTACTCTGTTGCCCAGGTTGGAGTGCAGTGGCGTGATCATGGCTCACTGCAACCTCTGCCTCCCGGTTTCAAGCCATTCTCCTGCCTCAGTCTCTCGAGTAGCTGGGATTCCAGGTTTGCGCCACCATGCCTGTCTAATTTTTGTATTTTTAGTAGAGACAGGGTTTCACCATGTTGGCCAGGCTGGTCTTGAACTCCTGACCTCAAATGATCCGTCTGCCTTGGCCTCTGAAAGTGCTGGGATTACAGGGGTGAGCCACTGCACCTGGTCTCCTTATTTTTATTCCTCTAAAGGATAGCTGACTGTTTAAAGCAAAATTGTAAAAATATATATTGTTTTTGTAACATATAATCAAGTGAAATTTATGACAAAAATGATACAAGAGATGGGAGGGAGGAATTAGGAATCTACTGGTTTAAGGTCCTTATACTACACATGAAGTGATGTAATATTATTTAAAGGTTGACTTATTTTGTTAAAATATGTAATTATAACCCCTAGGAAAATCACTTAAAAAGTTTAAAAAAGTTATAATTAATAAGTCAATTTAGGAAATAAAATGGAATAATAAAAATGTTCAGTTCAGCTCAGAGATGGCAGAAAAGGAGGAAAAAAGAGACAATGAGTAAATTAAACAAATAGACGACAGCTAGCAAGATGGAATATATAAACTCAACCAGATTAATAATAACTTTAAACATGAATGGTCTAAGCATGCCAGTTAAATGTCAGAGATTTTCAGATAGGATAAAATAACAAGATCCATCTGTATGCAATGTACGAACAACAACAACAAAACACTTTAAATATAAAGAATTATATAAGTTAAATGTAAGAGGATATGGAAAGATATACCATGACAATGCTAACTGAAAGAATTATGGATAACTATATTAACTTTAAACAAAGCAGACTTCAGAATAAGAAATATTATCAGAGACAAACAGAGGCATTGCCTAATAATAATGGAGCAAATTATCCAAGAAGATATAATCCTGAATGTGTATGCTTGTGATGTGACCTCAAATACATGCAGCAAAACTACCAGATTTGAAAGAGATAGAAACAAATTTACAATTATAATTACAAACTTCAACACTCCTTTCTTATTGACAAAACAAGAAGGCAAAAATCGTTAAGGATATAGATGGCCTAAACCATGCTATAAAAATTATGTATTTGACCTTTATAGAGCACTCCAATCAACAAAAACATAATTTTTATTTTTCTCCAGTGAACACTGAACATTCACAAAGATAGACTATATTCTGGGCCATAAAACAAACTTTAATTAATTTAACAGAATAGAAGTTATACTAAGTTGGTTCTTGGATAAGAATAAAGCTAAACTAGAAATCAATAACAAAAAGATCTATTGAAAATCCTTCAATATTTGAAAATGAAAAAATACTCTTCTAAATAAACTCAGGGTTTAACTAAGAAGTCTCAAGGATAATTTAAAACAAAACGAAACAAAGCAAAAAGCATCTGGTACAGATAACCAAGGGGAGGAGAAAAGCTAGAATGAACCATGTTGTATTAGGTTATAGTCAGAGATGTTGGTACGATCTCATGTTTAGCTTAATATAAATGTAAATGGAGAGATACAAAAATAATTATAGCTAAATGTGTAAATTAGCTCTTTCTGTTAAGAACTAGAGTCAGTGACACTTCAGTGGCAATGAGCATACAGAGAGGTTTCTAAACACAGTTCTTCTAAAAGGAACAAGGGACTCTTAAGACATGGCCAGTTCTAGGGCTGGACAGGAAAATACAAGATGTGCTTGAAATATCTAGTAGTGTCAGAAAATAAATAAGTGCTCAGAAACAAGTTTACAGAAGCCAAGCTGAAAAATGCTTCCCATGGCCAAAATTGGAACAATTTGAGCAAGAAAATAAATTATGTGGCACTGGGCTACAACACAAGTATAAAATAAATACACGTGCATCTACATTGATATAAACAAATGATTGAAAAATAAATAAATTGAAGGAGACCAACCTTTCTTACAGAAATATTACATAATCTATGAAATATTGTCTCCTCTAGGGGGTCAAGCTTAACTCTCTCTGCCTTGAGTGTGGACTGTACTTTGTGTCTTGCTTCCAAATAATTGAATCTGCAAAAGGAAATAAAGTCGCTTCACAGTGGAGAACTCTCATAAACACTGACTTGCCTAGGTGACCAAGGTTAACATCACCAGTGATGAGTCATGTTGATAGCAAGTAACCTCTGATAAAATGAGATGAGAAGCACACTTCAACTCTGTGGCCTTCTTCTCCAAAACACCTAGCCACATTTGAATGAGAAAACCACCAGACAAAACCAAATTGAGCAACATTCTACAAAATACATGAAAGCTACTCCCCAAATCTGTAGAGGTCATCAAAAGCAAAGAAAGAGTGAGAAGCTCTCCCAGACAACAGAAGAGCATGGTAAGGAGACATGACATTTCAGTGCAATGTGATCCTGGAATAGAGAACAGGACACTAGTGGACATACTAGTGAAATTTGAGTTATGTCTGGAGCTTAGTTAATAGTAATGTATGAATATTAGTTTCCTAGTTTTGAAAAATGTATTATGTTTATAGAATGTGATAACAATAGAGAAAACTAGGTGATGGGTACAAAATAATTCTCTGAATTATCCTTGCAGCTTTTCTGTCAGCCTAAATTTACTCTAAAAATTGTTAAAAATAATTTGAACTAAAGGAAAATGCAACATATCAAAATTTGTGGGATGCTACTAAAGCAATGCTGAGGTACATTTTTAGTGCCAAATGCCTCTATTGAAATGAAGAATGAGCCAAATTCAGTAACCCAAGCTTACACCTTGAGAAATTAGAGAAAGAAGCTTAGAGAAAGAAGAACAAGTTAAAAACAAAGCAAGCAGAAGGAAATAAATAATAAAGATTAGAGCAGAGGTTAATGAAACTGAAAACATAAATTCAATAGACAAAATTAATGAAACCAAAAGCTGACTCTTTTAAAGGATCAATATAATTGGTAAACCTCTTGCAAGGCTGATTAAGAAAAACTGACACACATTCCTAATAGCAGAAATGAAAGAGGGGACATGACTAGTGAATTCACAAACATTGATAGAATAGTAAGGAGACCTTATAACCAATTGTATGCCCATAAATTCAGCAGCTTTGAGGGACTGGATCCATTTATTGCAAGATAAAAACTATCAAAAAGAATATTAGAAAACTTGCTAGTTCTATGGCTATTAAGTAAATTGAATTTTTAGTTTAAAACCTGCTAAAGGAAACTCTAGGCTCAGTTTATTTCACTGGCAAATTCTATGAAACATTTAGGATAAAATAGTCCCAGTTCTTCACAATCTCTTCCAGAAAATAGAAGAGGAGGTAGCACTTTCCAACTCATTTTATGAAGCCAGCATTTTATGAAGCCAGTCAAAGATGCTATAAGAAAAATAAACTCTAGATGGATATCTCCCAGGAACATAAACATAAGATTCCTCAATAAAATATTAGCAAATCAAATTCAGCAATATGTAAGTGTGAGACTCACCCCACTGATGAATATCTAGAGCTAAATGAAAGCAAAAATGTCTTCATTCATTCAGCTATTTTAAAAAATTAAACACACATTTATTCAGTATTTACTGTATGTTAGAACATATATCGGGCTCTGGGGGTATCACTTAAACAATGACAGGAAGAAGAACTTCTGTTGTGACCCCTGGAGAAAGAGATCAGTCATAACCATTGGTGAATTCCTTTTAGGAGACACAAAAATGACAAGACGTATGCATGCCATCTTCTTGAGATTCCACTATATTGCTGTGAATTTGATGTTGCTTATGAAATCTTTGGACTCCTAATGATAGGTGTAAGATTGAAAGAAATAATCACAATGTCTAGACAAATTTTTATGAAGATTCTGAGGTAGGAGGTAAAACTTAAGGCTTTGGAAGCATATAGGAACACATTCAGTGTTTCCATTGCAGGATGAAACTTTAGAAGACAGAAGATCTGGAAGTTGAACAGCTGCTGTCTGTAAACTTGAATAAGGACTGAAATAACTTTTGGCTAAAGATAAAAAAAATGATATGCCTGCAAGAAATGTATTTAATTGGCATCTAGGTAACTTGGTCGAGAGTGATTTAAATTAAATGTGGAAATGAAGAGAGGATTTGGTCCAGATAAACATATGACTCTAATTTCTATGTGTCGAGCACAGAGCGGGAAGGCAAGACTGAGAGTTTTTGTGGCATCCAGTGAACCACTGTGGCATTCAGTGATTCAGTTCCTAAGAAAACAATTAGGAAAAGGCCCAGGAATGCTAGTGGTAATTCAGATACCAATTCAAAGATCATAGGAAATATGGAAAGTACATTGAGATTATAACTTGGGAAAGTATAATTGGTCTTATATGTATCACTGAGTCCTGGTAGGATAGAAGTCAACTTTGGAAATGGTGGAAAGGTATGTCTTCTGACAAGTTCAATCAGTGGTTTTCAATAGGAAATAAAGAGTGAGGGTCGTGAGCATCAGAGTTTCATGTGGAATTTTAAAAGATCTGACTGAGTATATTGCTCATTAAAGTTATTAGGTGGGTATAAATAGTATAGCAAATGATTAGAAGATTATAATAGTCATTAGTGTTGCTCAATAATATTTTGAGTTCTACTCTTGAGCTCAGGGAATATAGCCCTTCTGTGCCTCTTCTTTAAAGTTAATGTGACTTTCTATGATGAATGAAAGTGAGCAAAGTGAACAATGTTATCAGGATTTGGAGCACATTTGCATGAGTGAGAAATAAATGATTGCTGTATTAAACCATTTAGATTTAAGGATGATTTGTTACCATTGCATAATCTAGCCCATCTTCATTGATACAAAGATGTATGTCATTGTAAAAATTTATAGATTGGTGACAATATATAATAGATGATTACAGAAGTGGATTTCAACCAAGTTTTAACTATAAAAATGTTTTCTCGAATACAAGCTTACAGAGATTCCCAGTATATAAAGAGATAAATTATGCAACCGCTTTGTTAGAAGCAAAGCTGCACTGGTCTCTAGCCAGCCTTTCCACTTCTCCCCTCACCAGACTTTAAGGCGTCTGAGGTCCTTGTGCCCAATTTGTAGAACCTCTAAAGCATAACAAAACACAGTTGAAAAACCATAGCTATAGGAAGATAGATTTTTAGCTCAATAAAAGGAAGTACTTTCAGTCAGAAATGTCCAAAGATAGAATTGGCTACTAAAGTAGTGAGCTGCTGTCACAGGAAGTGTTAAAGCACCGATTGGTTATACTAGGCAGATGTAGTGATAGAAGGTATTCTGTCATTGGCTGACCACTTCTAGCATCAGAGGTTTTGATTCTTAGGCCTCTTCCAATGGATAACCTCTTCTATTATTCTTTATCTCTTTCTCCGCCTTATTTTTCTTCATTAACATTATCACTTGTTTATGTTATATAAAAATTCATCTATCTGTCTAGCTAGCAGTGTACTGAACAAATTATTAAATTTTCAGAAATTTTTTGAGTCAGTTGTTAAGCACAGACATTGTTAAAAATCAAATTATTTAAACTTACAATTAAATTATATCAAAAACTAGGTAATGACACTCAAAATGCATCACTTTCTAATTACTTGGCTACATTTTGCTGTTACCTGTGCTCTTGAGCTTATTTATATCTATCATGTCTGTATGGTGGATATATTATATAATGATGTGCTATATAATAGTGTGCTATGACACTGAGTTTCTTTAAGCAAGTTTCTTTCTTTCGTTCTCTGTTTTTTTGAGATGGAGTCTCACTCTGTCACCCAGGCTGAAGTGCAGTGGTATAATCTCAGCTCACTGCAACCTCCGCCTCCCGGGTTTAAGTGATTCTCCTGCCTCAGCCTCCAGAGTAGCTGGGATTACAGGTGTCTGCCGTCATGCCCAGCTAATTTTTATATTTTTAGTAGAGATGGGTTTTGCCATGTTGGCCAGGCTGATCTTGAACTCCTGACCTCATGTGGTCCACCTGCCTTGGCCTCCCAAAGTGCTGGGATTACAGGCGCCTGGCCTAAGCAAGTTTCTTTAAGCAAACATTTGGGATATGATGTTGAGTTTCTTGCTTAAAGAATGTGTAAAGCACTTAGTATGGGCCTCTTACACAGTAAAACTTAAATGCATGTCAACTATTAAGTTTTTATACCTTATATGAAGGATTTTAAGGTTCACGTCTATATGCAATGTAGAATTTTAAGAATGAGAAAGGGCGGAAAAACCAGTCATCATTTGCTGAGCCTCTACCATGTGCCACAGACTGTTCTAGAGAATTTACACTAATGGTCAAATTAACCCTTCATAGTCCCATGAGAGAAGTATAATTTGGTATAACTAATACCATTTTGTAAATATGGGAACTGACAGAGGCTTATATATAGCCACGTCTTCATGTCTAAATTGAGGCAGAATCCAGATGATAGCCCACTTATTTTTGACTCCAAATTTCATTTTGCCACTTCCTGGGTTGTACTGGTAAGTTCTAAATCACACCAAAATCAATAGAGAAGCCAAGCCCAACTTTGCATCCATGGTGTTACATTGGTAGTTTGAAATCAGTTATGGTGCAAATAATTACATCACAGGAATCATCAAACTCTGTAAATCAGAGCCTCATCCCTGGAGAACTGCTTGTTAAATATTTACCAGCACACCACTCTATCCATCTATAGCTCTCAACGCCTCTGGAATTTAACCTCCATAAAGATACAGAACATAACTTTGTTATGGTCTTTGTTGTCAGTTCTCAACAAATATTTACTTAGTGAATAAATTAATAATCAACAAATAATAGGACAAGCAGGAATTTTTAAATAAGCAAGTTGAGAAACCAGGGAACATGAATGGGAAGGTTTAGATGAGACTGAAATTGCTTTCTGTCTTTTTCTGGTATGCCTGCTTTGGCTGTTTCATAGGGCAGTACATAGGAAATGGCATCTAACACTCTTCAGTTTGTGTATAGAAATCATCCCTCTCTGTTCTCCAAAGAGAGCTTCCCAAAGCAATTCCTGAGCCATTCACAAGTTTCTGAAGAAAATTTGACATTTTTCCTCTCTTGTGGTGTTCATCGTAAGTGTATTTGCAAGCAGGAGTCCTGATTTTATAAGCAGAGAAAAAATTTTAACCCAGAAAAGTGTTAATTTTCAAAATACGATATCGGCAAACCTAAAGGAGAAGCCAAGACCAATTAGGTGGCCCTCAGAGAAGGCTGAGCAAGTGAAAAATAAAGGCAAATCCAACCATCTTGAGTAGGTTTCACTGAAAAGTTCTCTTGATTGAAATCTATTGATTATCTTAGTGAAGTCACTAGAGGCATCAACTTTTGACCAGTTTGGCCACATTTAAAAAATGTTTTCTGAGGACATTTGCACTGCTGTAGACTGGGGTACATGAGCTGGAGCACTACAGGCAGTTTCCAAGCTGTCTACATGTTAGGTCTGCATGGCAGTTCAAAAAATTGAATTAATGTCCAGAAATTAAATATCAGAGGATTTCTACTAAAAATCTGGATTTCTGAGTTGTCTTGAAAATTCAGTATATCCAGTAACACCAGACCTGTATTCCCACAAGGCAAAAATCCACTTGAGTGAAGTAGCTTTACTCTCTTTTTTTTTTATTTATATATTTTTATTTTTATTTTTTTCCGAGATGGAGTCTTGGTCTTGTCGCCCAGGCTGGAGTGCAATGGAATGGTCTCAGTTTACTGCAACCTCCGCCTCCCGGGTTCAAGCGATTCTCCTGCCTCGGCCTCCAGAGTAGCTGGGACTACAGGCACACACCACCACACCTGGCTAATTTTTGTATTTTTAGTAGAGATGGGATTTTACCATGTTGGCCAGGCTGGTCTCGAACTTCCTACCTCAGGTGATTCACCCGTCTCGGCCTCCCATGGTGCTGGGATTACAGGCGCAAGCCACTGCACCCGGACTTAGTAGCTCTGCTCTCTTTAGATGGGTCATACATTCTCCAACTCACCGCTATCCTTACCATGTCCCCATGTCCTATACATGGTCATCTCTACTCTGTAAGATCATTTATCTGGTCTTGTCTTCCTCTGATATCGCCTCAGAGTCATTTTCCTCATGTAATATTGATTACATGTGATGGTTGGGTGACTAGTGAGGGCTACAGTCTGTTGTTTAGCATCCAGTAATTCTTCTGCGAGGCTGTTAACCTTCCTGGTTTTCATTTTCCTCAGGTGTAAGTGAAGTGGCTGAACCAGGTAAACACCGGGGCATCCTATTGCTCTGGCCTTCTATGCTCACACATACTAAGCTAAGCACTTGTACTATTCTCTGACAGCTTTTTTTTTCCAACTCCTCTACATTTTTGTTTCAACTCCTTTACTTTTTTGTTTCAACTCCTTTACATTTCTATCTGTATTGCTATATCTCTCTTTCTCCATCTTTATCTCTGTCTTTATCATCATATAAAAGATTATTGTTCTCTTACTCTCTATTTTAGAGAAGGATGCCTACAGCTTATCCATGGTAGAGAGGAAGGGTGTTGGATCTTCATGAAGGCAAAAGGGCATGCCTGACCGTCCATTCTCCATTCTTCCTTCCTATGAGAGACACTGCTTTCTTTGTTTATAGTCTTCATGGGGCTTAAGCAGTAAAACACGCTGATTCTAAAAGAGGATTCCAGAACTCAGGGAGAAGACTTCCTTTTTACTTCCGCCATACTTCCTGAGTATAATTTGCTCATAATATAAACAGATCAACTGCTGGAAATGTCACTGTATACTTTTTAAAATTAAACATACCAGCCAGCACCAGTTTTTTTTTTTTTAATCATTAAGCTACCATGGTGATAGATATCCTAGACACATGTATATAAACAACAATTTACATTTTTCTATATATACTGCCCTAGAGATTATTTATATATCATGTATTGTATATACAAAGGACAAAGGGCTTATCACATTTAAATGGATAGCTTCTGAAACAGTATTTCTCAAGTCTGGTTCACAGGGATAAAGATACTACCTACAGGCCGGGCACAGTGGCTCACACTTGTAATCCCAGCACTTTGGGAGGCTGAGGCGGGAGGATCACCTGAGGTCAGGAGTTCAAGACCAGCCTGCCTCTACTAAAGAGACAGGGGCAAAACTCCATCTATACTATACTAAAAATACAAAAATTAGTCAGGTGTGATGGCCCATGCCTGTGATCCCAGCTACTTGGGAGGCTGAGGCAGGAGAATTGCTTGAACCTGGGAGGTGGAGGTTGCCGTGAGTCTGGATCATGCCACTGCTCTTCAGCCTGGACGACAGAGCAAGACTCCATCTCAAAAACAAAAACAAAAAATACTATCTACAATTCATTAGCATCTTCAGTAACTTGAGAACCAGAGTATATGGGGAAAGCTGACGAACAACCTTACTGGCATGGATTTTGTTTTCTTTACAATTCCTATATTTTTAACTTTTATTTTAAGTTCAAGGGTACATATGCAGATTTGTTACATAGGTAAACTTGTGTGTGTGTGTGTGTGAGAGAGAGAGGTCTGTTGTACAGATTATTTCATCACCCAGGTTTTAAGCCTAGTACCCATTAGTTATTTTTCTACCTCCACCTTCTGAAAAGGCCCAGTGTGTGTTACCTTGTTCCCCTCTATGTGTCCCTGTGTTCTCATCATTTAGCTCACACATGTGATTTTATTTTAGCACAACTCCTGTAGTGTACTTTTGCAGTATTTTCTACCACTTTGGATATAAAACATCATTGCAAAAATAAATGCATTTTATTTTAGTGTCATAGCTAGCTGGGTAGTACACAGTTGTTTGAAGGGATTGGGTTTTTTCCTCTTGACTTCCTTTTTTGTTCATTAGAAGTGTATGTCTTGCCAGTGAAACCTCCGCATGTACTTTTTATTTAGAGTCCGTAAGAACGGACATTATTTTTCAAAATGGGTAAAATATTTCACTAATGCATTTGTTATTTTGTGTTCTAGATCATCAAAAAAATGAATATTGACAAGAAATTTAATTGCCCCTTGCTTGTGGAGGAGGACAGAGATTATGTGGAAATAAAAACTATAGTAGAAACACACTTTCAAGCCTTTATAAGGTGTCTACTTTAGAAATAATTTTGTTTAGAACAGTTTACATTTTGATCTAATTAATCTTTTCTTCTTCCTTCCTTTAGATTGTCACTATATATATACGTATATGTATATATATACGTATATGTATATATATGTATATGTATATATATGTATGTGTATATATGTATATATATGTATATGTATATATGTATATGTGTATATATATGTATATGTATCTATATGTATATGTGTATATATATGTGTGTATATATATACATATACATATATATATGTTTTTTTCCTCCCATTTCTTTATTGTAGGAGCAGATAGTGCTAGTGATCGATTTAGCCCTGAAAGATGACTTGATAGTACTAGGTTACTCTAATAGCATTCCTTTACTTTCTTTTTCCTTTAATAAGAAAGGCAGGAAAAAAGAAATTCTGTTTTTCTTGGTGTTTGGAAAAGCTTCACTAATGTTAATTATTCTTACTGATTCATAAGCTCAAGAGGTTTCTGTTGATTAAAAATGACAATTGCAAGCACAGTTTCTGTGGAACCAAAAATACCTTGAAGCTAGTAAGTGTTTTGTATAATTTCATTGTGTTGGATGATGAACTTAAAAAGGTTGTATTAAGAAAAATAATTTATTGCTGAAAATCAGTTGTAACTTGTGGCTTGTGCAGTAGGTGTGTAAGATATCGAATTTTTGCTGTATACTTTAGGATTTGGAAATACTTAGACTATAAGCTATAAACTTAAGTTATGAAATAACAGTTATAAAAATCTCTATATTATTTACCTCCAGCTTTCCAAGATTAGATCTTTTGTTAGATGCATGTTTTGCTGTGATTTTATTTTATTATTTTATACTTTCATTCAATACCAATGATTTTTTTTTTTTAGTATTCTCCTATTATCTTTTTCTTTAAGTTCTGGGATACATGTGCAGAACATGCAGGTTTCTTAGATAGGTATACATGTGCCATGGTGGTTTGCTGCACCCATAAACCCATCATCTACATTAGGTATTTCTGCTAATGCCTTCCCTTCCCTTGCCCTCCACACCCTGACAGGCCCCTGTGTGTGATGTTCCCCTTCCTGTGTCCATGTGTTCTCATTGTTCAACTCCCACTTATGAGTGAGAACATGCAGTGTTTGGTTCTCTGTTCTTGTGTTAGTTTGCTGAGAATGATGGTTTCCAGTTTCATCCGTGTCCCTGCAAAGGACAGGAACTCATCCTTTTTTATGGCTGCATAGTATTATATGATGTGTCTATGTGCCACATTTTCTTTATCCAGCCTATCATTGATTAGCATTTGAGTTGGTTCCAAGTCTTTGCTATTGTGAACAGTGCTACAATAAATATATGTGTGCATGTGTCTTTATAGTAGAATGATGTATAATCCTTTGGGTATATACCCAGTAATGAGATTTCTGGGTCAAATGGTATTTCTGGTTCTAGATCCTTGAGGAATCACCACACTGTCTTCCACAATGGTTGAACTAATTTACACTCCCTCCAACAGTGTAAAAGTGTTCCTATTTCTCCACATCCTCTCCAGCATCTGTTGTTTCCTGACTTTTTAATGATTGCAATTCTAACTGGCATGAGATGGTATCTCATTGTGGTTTTGATTTGCATTGATTTTAAATATATATAAAAAAAATAAGCCAAGTGAAGTTAGTATGTGTAAATTGCACCACATGAGGATAAAAAAGATGGCTGAATTTCATAGAAAACTATATTGTGGCATCTAACCATATCCTTAAGACTCAGTTAATAAATACTTCTGTTTTATATGTATATGTTTGTGTCTGTGTGTGTGTGTACGTATAAAATGGTGAGAAGTATGAAAAAGTTGTAATAGAAGCAAATGAACATAAATTCCTCAAAAGAAAGATAGATTGGACCAAGACATCATATTCAATGTTGCACACTTTAAAATAACTGATTTATAATAAAAGTTTTAAAAGAAAAACATATAGTTATACTAATTAAGCTTGATGTACAAAATAATACCAAATTGGATTTAAAAAGAATTATTTTCTTAAGATACTAAAAAATTATCCTGATTTTTAATGAGTAGTTACAATTTTATTATAACTTTTTAAAAGTTTGTTTGCCTTTAGCATTTCTTAATATTATTGTAAGCATTAACAATACTAAACAAAACAAAAAAGAGTTTGAAGATTCAGTCGAGACAAATAGAAATAACAGTAAAAAAAGTTCCCAGAAAATGCGAGCTATTTAAGGGCATGAGCCATCTCTTATGTTATTTTGGTTAAATAAATGTCTCAGATCGTTAGCTACGAGACCCTGTGCTGGGCACTGGATGAATTAGACACACTTCCTCTGTCCAAGGTCAGATGAAGTGGCTATCTTTGCTCCTTATGTGCATATTTTTCACCTCTGTACTTTTGGTACCTAGCATAGAGCTGAACTCGTAAAAGGCAGTCAATATCCCCTTGTCGCATTGAATCAAATGTTTGTTGTTAGACTGAACAACTGAAATTTCGGAATCGCTATGTTGAGTCATTTTGGGCTTCTCAGAAATTTTGTAAATGAAACAGAATACAGGTGTAGGGTATTTTGAACTTGCTAGGATGCAAATTATTTAACAATATTCGAATGAAATCATTGTACTTAGAGGCCAGGCACGGTTGTTTACACCGGTAATCCCAGCACTTTGGGAGGCTGAGGTAGGTGGATTGCCTGAGCTCAGGAGTTCTAGACCAGCCTAGGCAACATGGTGAAATCCCATCTCTACTGAAAATACAAAAAATTAGCTGGGTGTGGTGGCACATGCCTGTAATCCCAGCTGCTCTGGAGGCTGAGGCATGAGACTTGCTTTAACCCAGGAGGCAGAGGTTGTAGTGAGCCAAGATTGTCACCACTTCATTCACTCCAGCCTGGGTGATAGAGCGAGACTCTGCCTTCAAAGAAGGAAAGAAAAAAAGAGAGAGAGAGAAAGAAAGAAAAGGAAGAAAGAAAGAGAGAGAAAGGGAAAGGAAAGGAAAGGAAGGAAGGAAGGAATTATTGCACTTAGAGTTCATTGCCATTTCTAGTTATGTTAATGCTTAGTATAGAGGAGTCTGGGGTAAGGTACCTGTGTGATCTTGGGGAAGCAGCCTACTGTCCTCAAACTAGGGATTTCTCCATCTTTAACATGAGGGCCAAAAACGGGTTATGAACCAGAAGTCGCAGTCATCTAAGGCTTCAAGGGAGGCCTTGAATTACTTAGAATGGTATGCAAAATGATTTAAATATGTTTGAAAATATGTTTTTTTACTTGGAGAGGATCCAAACTTCAATAGATTCTAAATAAGCCTATATTGCCATCTCTCTGGTCTAAATTATCTCTAGAGTTTATTTTACTTCGAAAAATAGTTTTTAGTGTAACATACAAAAATTTTAATCAATAGATTAAAAGTAGGCAACAAACCATCAACATGTTATTATATAAGAGAAATTCCATTTTGGATTGTTGTCTGTTTTCTACCCTGATTGAATAATTAAACCGTCAAGCAGCTAATGAACATTTATTGATAATTATTATCTATTCTGAGTGGCAATAACAAAAGGAAATAGTGAAAGATATACCAATAACTTTCTTCAAAGAATCCATTATCTAATTAGAAATATTAAATCAACTTAGTCTTTCCCTTCGATGTAGTCATGGAGGTGAATCTTACACCATGGACAATTAGAGGGAGCTATATTTAAGACTATATGGGTTTTAAGCGAAATAGATCATTTCTAGGGTATTTATTAGGGAGATACTATTTTCAAGATGTTGTGCTAATCCAGTCATGCCAGGCATATTTATTGAGTATTGACTTGCCAGACACAAAAAAACACTAATAAATACTATGTATGGTCTCTCAACATTAAGAAAGTGGTTTTTTTTGCAGGAAATACAAAAACAAATAATTATAGTGTTTTTATTCAGTATTATAATTCATATATGAAAGAGTTGCATGGGAGAACAGAAGCGGCACTCTAAGGTGACCCCTTTTTGTGATCCCTGGCTCTTAGTAGTTTGAAGTCTTATTGAGTGGTATAATAAAACATGCAAACAACTAAAACATAGGACAACATATATTGTATCATGATTAGCTGCAAATTGCCATGCTGTTTCTGAGGAAGGAGGTATATTTATACCAACTGTAACAAGGAATATTTAATTCAGCAGATATTTATTGTTACTGGATTTAAGTCCTATAATGTTCATCCGACTTGTTATTCCAAGCTTAAGATGGTACTTAGCACTTGGCATGTATTCAGTAAATATTTGCTGAACAGATAAATACATGAAGACCCACTTCATGCCAAGAATAGTGCAAAATACCCACAAACATAGAGGCAGAGAAAAATAAGTTTGTGCCCTAAAAATGCTCACAGTCATCATATACATGCGTGTGTATTTATTTTCAAATCACTATGTTACATGGTAATAGAGTTGCATGCAGAGCACAAGAGGTACTTCTGAATCTTCACAGAAGAGACATTGACATTCTCAGAGAATGGGTGGCGTCTAGGAGGATGAATAGGAGCTCATGCCAGGAAGATAGGGAAGTGGAGGAAGGAGTTCCAGACAGAGGGTGTTACATATGCATAGGCACTGGCATTTGAAAGTTTATGGATTTGGGGGATAACTATCAAATGTGTAGGATGTATATGGGTAAAGGAAAGGAGAAAGATGAGACTGGAGATGTAGACCATTGGGGACCATTTCTTAAAGGGCCTTTTCTGTCATACTAAGGAGCTGGAGTCATTCTGAAGGCCTGAGGTACACTGAGGAATTATGAAGAAAAGAGGTTATATAGGAGGTATACTCAGGAAGTTTCCAGAAAGAGTGAGGCTGAGAAGGCCCAGCTTCCAACACACGAGAGACATACTTACACTTCCTAGGAAGGCCCCTAGAGAAGAGAATTACAAAGATTCATTTGCTGGCTTCTCTTTCATCATTTGTTTTTATCATTTGGAGCCTGGATACTCCAATACCTATATGGCAAACTTTGCCCTTTCCTTCCCCAAGGTACAGCTGTTAAGAGAGTGCATGAAAATTTCCCACTACCAAATGCCATGGGTGGTTATGAGAAGCACCTCTTGTTAACAGTTAAAAAGTAAAATACATTTTGGACTTTCAGCTTTTCATTTCCTACCTATGGGACATGGAAGAATGTTCATTGGTGTATATAAACTTGAGTTTCTTAATGTGAAAAATAAGGATAAAAGTTTTTAAGTATATATATATGCGTTTAATCAGTCTGTTGAATTAAGTCAGTAGGTGTTGAAAGACAGGATTTGTTTTTTTTCCCTTAAGTCTGCTTTTATCTTACATTTGCAAATAAGAAGTTTTGTATCCAAACATATTATTCTTCCAAAAATTTTAAGGATAAAGATGTACTTTTAAAAGAAGCTATAACTTAGCATTTTCTTTTGGTTAAATATAATTATTCTAAAAATGGCATATCTCTACATTATGTTTGCTTGGTAAAACTGAATATTACTCGCCTGTTTCCACAGTATGACATAAGTGGAAATAAGACAATTATAGAACATCTTCATAACAAAGTTACCATATAAAGCTTATATGAGTGGATGGCTTAATTAGATTGTTTTTAAAGTTTCAGGTAGTTCAGTTTCTTTTTTCCTGGTTTTTACTTTCTGTTTGACCTTCAGAGAAACTAACTGTATTTACCTCAAACATTTCTTATCCACATGTCTTCAATATATAATCATAATATTTGGTACATCTGAAGTGCCTGACATCTGACGCTTCTGAATTGCTTCATAAATGTGGATTTAGGCCTTGGGGGCCAGATGGCAAAAGTCAACAGAATAAAAGTATTTATTAGGTATTCATGATTGTACTGGGTGCTGTACTGGATAACAAAATTGAGAAAGAAAGTATTTTCTATGATTTCAGGTATCCTACAATTTAGCTAGGCAGTCCAAACACAAATACATTTTTGAAGAGGAATAAAAGTAGTGCGCATGGAAGTGTTTGGCATCGCCTTGATGATAGATCTAACATTACCAAAGAAATGTTGTCTCAGAGCTGGACTCTCGCAGACCGTTGTGTTCTCTTAGACAAATGGAAGCTTTCCAGCTAAAACTGGCTTAATTCATTACTATTTACTTGGTAGCCAAAATAACTTACTGCCTTATTTTGTGTTGGATTTGAAATTCAAAAAAAAGTAAACAAAACAAAATAAAAACAAATTTGAGTTTCTTGTAATTTATTTTATTATAGGGAGTTTTGTTCCAAGACTGTTTAGTGACCAAAACCAAAAAGGCTGCTGTCTTTAATATGTAGTTTATTCTCCCCACAAACACATTACTTGAACAGCAACTAAAAAAAGAGATAAAAAGAAGTGGGGAGGATATACTAGGCATTCTCTTCTTCTTGGCTCAAAGCTTAGAGGTTGTGACCAGCTGGACAGCTTTCCAGAAATCATAAGCAGATACTGGGCCAATTGTTTTTATTACAGAATTATGGAGGAATTCTGAGGTGTAAATGATTTGTAAAGCAGCTCTATTTAGGAGTAGTTTTGCGGAGGTTTGGATCAATTCAGTGGGTTGTAGTTTGACATATGAAGTGATAACTGTATGCCTAGACAGTCCCAGCTGCTGAATTTGCAACTACAGTGAAGAGTTCTGCCCACCCCCATCTGTCTAAGGGGCATCTCCACCTGTCATTTCTGTACTCTGGCCTCTATGACATGATAAATTGCTTTTAATTAGAATTGCAGACAATTTTTCATTCTCTGGATAATGTCCCAGCGTACAACATAACATCCAACATAACTTTGGCAGTTCAGAAGTGAGCTTAAACAACATGCAGTACTTCTCTCCACAGTTATAAATAATTGTAAATAATTTGTTGAGAAATATACACTCATTGCAATATAAACATGAAATGCCTTTATTTTTCCAATCTAAATTTTTAGCCCTGCTCTGTGGATCATTTTCTAGCATCCTTTAACAAAATCTTGGCTAGCTTCTATAGCTTCCTAGCCACTTCTCAGTTATTAAGACTTAGTCTAGCCCAGTTTAGAACTTCAGTCTCGTGTGAGTCAAAGCTCCCTCTCTCTACAGCATGGGCTGGAGTTGTAACCCTAACTTTATTGTAGGGGTGAGATATGGTCTGGCTCTGAGATACCGTCAATGTTTTACTCTTTGAGATGAATAAGCTCTTCTGGTTTAAGGAAATGTGGGCGGAATGAAGGAATAGGGAAGCAGAGCTCTTGGTATAGCTGGTCTCATATTGATGATGCTGAACAGTGCTCCTGCTGTCACTGTATTCCATCCAGTTCTGGTCTCTGTCCATGTAGAGCGATATCCACCTAAGTGCTGTGCATGGTCCTCGGGGTGTCAGCTTTACCCCTGCACCCTTTATCTTTAATGACTCTTTCAGATTGAGGAAGTCAGATTTTTCTTAAGTTCTGCATCTCCTTTCTCCGGATGGGTGTCTCATTACAGGAAACCATGAGAACTCCTCCAACTTTTTCTCCAGTCCCTATGCAGGGGCTTAGAGAATAGGGAAGTAAATTACCATCTTGTTCTTCAAAGCCACACTGTATCTTAGTATCTTTAAGCTGTGCCTGGCTGGCCGCCTCCTCCGTGGGCTTTTCCTCTTCAGAAATCAATTTTTCAGAAGAGGGTCCCAATCCCTGTGTTCACATATCTTTCAAACTTCAGGTGTTATGGTCTAAGTTCTTACTAATCTTGTTTGACTCCATGACAGCACTAGGTAGGCCTACAGGTTGTTTCCACCCAGGAAGCATCCAATCAGGGTGGATGTCACGACCTTCCAGTCTCTATCAATGGGTCTCTAGGAGCCACTCTCCCTTAATTCCAGTGAGGAGAAAGCACAGAGAGAGGAGGGTGTGGTTTCTGTCCATGAGCTCTGCATTTCCCAACCCCTTTGGGGGCTGACAACAAACTTCACTAGACTGGGTTAAGTATAGAATAAAGTATATTTTAATAGATAAACATAGGGCAAGGTTGTGGAATTCAGAGAGGCAAAAATGAACACAGTTGAGAAATCGTAGAACATGTTTGGAGACAAAGAAATAGGTCAGTTTGGTTGTGGCATAGGAGGTAATAAAAATCAAGTTTCAGTAAGAACAATTTCTGACATATTTTTAATGGCCTTGAATGCTAGGTTGATGAGCTTTGAGTTAATTTAATTTATGAAGGGTTAAGAAGCTAAGATGCTAAGAATGTAGCTGTGAATGAAACAGAGGGGCAAATTCTTACAAGTTTGGATATTGTTGCCTACATTGTATTTCCAAAGCTTTCTGGAGTAGTAGCAAGTGATTCTGAAAGCTCTAGAATTCTAGCTGTGTATCTAGTGTTAGTTAGAGTTACTTCATTTATAGTTATAGAGAGGAATAGTTTTCATTTCAGTTATCTGGCACAAATGGAGTGTTTTTATCATAAATTTGTATTACTAGCAATTTCTCAGCTTTTGGCAGATAAACTTAATAAGACATACCAATCCATGATAACCTTTACTTAGAGTTACAGGGAAAAACAGTACATTCTTTGTGTATGGTAAACAACTCTTTCCTGGTATTGATTCAATGTGGGAAGAACTGTAACAACAAAGCAGCAATATGACATTAAATTCTTGTTGACCACATTATCTGTTGTAGATTTAAAAAAACCTGTTTTCTGCTAACAGTCATAACATTTTCTAATATTGTTGGGCAATAGCATTGCTTGCTTTTGTTATGATCACTGTTCTAGATACTGTAGTTGTCATGACAACAAAATAACACTAATAATAACAACAATATATAACATGTATTGAGCTCTTACTATATGTCTTCCATTTTGTAAAACATTTTCCATGGGCTCATTTGAGCCCCACAACAACTTCATGAGGAAGGTACTGAGGGAACTGTGGCATAGGGAGGTTAAGCTTTTTGACTATGATCACATCACATGTAAAGGTGGAGCCAGGATATTGTTCAGGCAGTCTGAATTCAATTGCTGGGCTCTTCAACATGACAGCTATGGCTGGGGCTGTACAGAAGTCAGGATTGACATTGTGTTATATTCAAACATATGAGCAGATTGGATGGCTGTGGCCTTCAGATCTTTATTTAATACAAGTTGATGGGGCTACCTCTTTCTCTTAGCCTCTTTCCTTGCTGAAAGTCCCTGAATCCCTTTGTGATTATAGCAGAATGGATATCTCTAAAGCGTGGTGACCTGGTGAGTTGTCATGATTTTCTGCAGTTCTCAGCAGCCTGTGAGTGGCACAACTGAAATCATTGTCCTTTCTTCATTGTCACTCCTACCTTCATGTAAGTGTTGAACACATAGAGAACTAAGAAGCAGAAGGTATTAAGGGAAAGTCCGGAAAGGTGGCAGTTCTTTAGTATACTATCATCATTTGACATCAAGCCCTGAGCTTGGAACATTTGGAAACTCAGCTTTATTAGTACAATAAGAGCTCAGCAAGCTCAGGAAGATGACTTCATCCAAATTAAATGAATGGGGGAGTTAATGTATTGATTAATTTTGTGAATTCATAAATCGTAAGCAGATGACTGGGCCAATTGTTTTTGGAACATTTGGAAACTCAGCTTTATCAGTACAATAAAAGTTGAGCAAGCTCAGCAAGATGACTTCATCCAAATTAAATGAATGGGGGAGTTAATGTATTGATTAATTTTGTGAATTCATTAATTTTTTAATGAACTATGAGGTATAATTTTTAAACAATAAGATGGACCCATTTTAAGTGTACAGCTTTATCATTTTTTTTTTTTGAGACGGAGTCTTGCTCTGTCACCAGGATGATGTGCAGTGGCGTGATCTTGGCTCACTGCAACCTCCACCTTCTGGGTTCAAGCAGTTCTCCCGCATCAGCCTCCTGAGTAGCTGAGACTACAGGCATGTGCCACCACGCATGGCTAATTTTTGTGTGTGTGTGTTTTAGTAGAGACGGGATTTCACCATGTTGGCCAGGATGGTCTCGATCTCTTGACCTCATGATCTGTCTGCCTCAGCCTCCTAAAGTGTTGGGATTACAGCTGTAAGCCACCACGCCTGGCCCAGCTTGATAAATTTTGACATATATGTCTGTGAAATGTCAACCACAATCAACATGTAGGCCTTTCTATTATCTTAAGAGTCTCTTGTGCCAACTTCTAGTCACTTCTTATGCCCTACTCTCAGCCCAAGCAAACACTGATATGCTATCACCATAGATTAATTTTTCTTTCTAAAGTTTCATATAAATGGAATAATATATACTCTTTTGTGGCTGGCCTTTCTTATTCAACAAAATGTTTCTGAGATTCATTCATGTTGTTTCATGTACTAATAGTTCATTCATTTATGTTGCTGACAATATGTTATTGCGTTGATATATGACAAATCATTCATCCATTTACCTTTGTTGAACATTTGAATTCTTTCCAGTTGCCAGCTATTATGAATAAAGCTACTCTCAATATTTGTGTAATAGTCTTATTGTGGATGGAAGGAAGTTTCTATTTCTCTTGGTATATCAGTCAGGGTCCAATCAAGAGACAGGAACCACACCATTTAGGAAATATTTAATTTAAAAATATTATTAAAATCACTTAATAGATAATAATTATTAATAGAATACTATCATTAGACCATTGGAGTAATGGAAAATTGGCTATTAAGAGGTAAAGAGAATTCTAGAGAACATGGGATTAGCAGAATAGAAAGAAGCAACCACTCTATTTGAGAGGGCATGCTCATGGCTCAATAGATAGTGGGGTATTTCTGTAAAATGTCTCACTAACAGGACTCCACTGGCTATTTGCCTTCAGAAGTGCAAGGGGTAAGTGTTGATGGACAGGAACTGTACTTCAGAACTCACTGGAGAGATACTCAAGGAGGGGTTGGGAAGCTGTTGAAGTGGAGGTGCCTTACTTGTCACACTCACTGGGAGGTGATTGTCTGGGTTACCAAGGAAAGCTTTTTACCCAGAGCAGGTTCACAGTGGCACTCCATAAGGATGCATCCTAAAGGGGTTTCAGGGGAAGCTGAGAACAGGGAGGTGCCAGGCTAGCAGTACTCCATTGGGAAGCATCCTGAGGAGGTGTTGAAAGAAACTGGTTAAGTAGAGTTGTCCGGCCAGTGACTTTTCTCTCTGGGTGCCAGTGTATGCCATTCAAGGGAATGTGTTTAACAGGTGGCACTGGTGGGGATCCCACTCTATGGGCCCGGGAGGAAGCTTCCCTGCCAGTGGCACTCCACTGCAAAACTACCTGAGGGAATGCCAAGGGAAGCTGGCCATGAGAACATGTCATATACTTTTAGATACTGGGCACTGCAGAAAAAGAAAAAAAACAACAACACAACTGTGTGCATTTTGAGAGCCTGATGCAAGAAACATACCAGAACCAGAACAAGAACGCCCCTTTTCTCTATTGTCTTTTTGGAACCCTCTGTTACAAAGGGTTGTGACACCTGGCAAAGAATAAATATAGGATTCAGTTCGATTATTACAGCCAGTTATTGCAAATTGGATATGGAACTAAGAGTCAATAAATTGGTAACTGACACACTTGGTAAATGCATAGGAGCACAGTCACTGAGTCATATGTTATGTTTGTATGTTTCTATAAGCAATTGCCAAACTGCTTTCCAAAGCAGTTGCACCATTCGCATTCCCACCAGCAATACATGAGTGTTTCAGTTACTCCATATCATCACCAACGCTTAGTAGTATTGCCCTGCACTTTTTTTTTTTTTTTTTTTTTTGAGACAGAGTCTCTCTCTGTTGCCCAGGCTGGAGTGCAACTGCAACCTCTGCCTCTCAGGTTCAAGTGATTCTCCTGCCTCAGCCTCCCAAGTAGCTGGGATTACAGGCGCCTGCCACCATGCCCAGCTAATTTTTGTATTTTTAGTAGAGATGAGGTTTCACCATGTTGGCCAAGCTGGTCTCGAACTCCTGACCTCAGGTGATCCACCCACCTCAGCCTCCCAAAGTGCTGGGATTACAGGGGTGAGCACTGTGCCCGGCCTGCTCTGTACTTTTTGTAGTGAATTTGTAGTGCATAGTGTAGAATGGTGTAGTGAACAATGAAGTTATTGTAGTGAGTTTGATGCAATATCACTTTGTGGTTTTAATTCACAGTCCTCTGATGGTGAAGGATGTGGATAGTTATTTTAGTTGGCCATTTGTGTATCTTTTTATGAGAAGTTTCTGTTCAAATCTTTTGTCCATTACAAAAGTGAATTATTGGTTTGTGTTCTTATAGCTGAGTAAGAGTGTGTTTGTGTGTATTTGTGTGTATATGTGTGTTTGCATGTGTGTGTATATATATATATTCTAGATGTGGGTGTACCCCCAAATATATGTTACAAAAGTTTTCCCTCAGTCTGTATCTTGCCTTTGCATTTTGTTCACAATGAGTTTCAAAGAGCAGAATTTTAAAAACTTGATAAAGTCTAACATATTTTTAACACTTTGTGCTTTTCTTTCCTATCGAAGAAATCTTTACCTAGGTAACAAATATTTTCTTTCATGTTTTATTCTGTAAGTTTTAGTGTATTAGCTTTCACATTTAGGTCTGTGATCCATTTCAGATTAATTTTTTGTATGAAGTGAGATAATACTTGAGGTTCACATGTATGTGAATATGAGTCCTCCCCTTACCCCAAGGGATGCTCAATTGTTCTAGCAACAATTAGCTAAAAAGTCTTTCTATTTCCCATTGAATTAGTTTAGATGCTGTCAAAAATCAATAGGCCGAATACGCTTGATATGTTTCTGGATTCTCTAATTTGTTTCATGAACCTATGTTTTATCCTTATGCCAGTACCATATTGTCTTGATTACAGCAGCTTTATGGTAAAATTTGCCATCCAACAGTTTAAGTCCTCCCAATATGTACTTTTTCAAAACAGTTTTTGCTATTTTAGCATTTTTTTCTTTTTTTGCATTTATATACACATTTTTTCTATATATATGTTAGAATCATATAATTAATATTTACAAAAGCATTTGCTGAGATTTTGATTTGGATTAAGTTGACTCTATAGATAAATTTAAAGAGAACTAACGTGAACAATCTTAGTCTTATGATTAATGAACATTGTATGTTTCTCTATTTATTTAGGTCTTTCTTTCCACAGTGTTTTGTAGCTTTCATTGTACAAGTACACATATAAATTGTTAAATTTATTTGTTAATCATTCGTGGTTTATGATGCTATTTTAAATGGTATTTAAACATTTATTTTCCAACTATTTGTTGCTAGTATATAGAAATAAGCTTAATTTTTAAAATATTGGGATTAAATCTTGAGTCCTTGTTAAATATAGTTATTGATTCTAAAAGGTTTCTTCTTTCTATTTTTTTAAAGGAGGTCTGTCTTTCTTGTCTGTATGGTTTTTATCTCTTTTCTCACCTTGCTGCTCTAGTGTTGAATAGAAGTAGTGAGATTGGAGTTCTTGTTTTTGTTATCCGATATTGGGGGAAAGCATTCTTTCATCATTAAGTAGGATGTTAGAAGAGTTTTTGATAGATGCTTCTTCTATTGATAGTTTTCTGAGAGTTTTAAAATATGTTTTAATCAGGAACTCTTTTTCTGCATCTACTGAGATGAATGTGTTTTAATATGTTAATGCAGTGAATTACACTGATTGATTTTTGAATATGAAATCAGCCTTACATCTCTAGGATAAATTTTTCTTGATTATGGTATATTATCCCTTTTTTGTTTAGTGCTGGATTCTATTTCCAAGAACTTTTGAAGATTTTATATCTATTTTCATGAAAGACATGGATTTGTAGTTTTATTGGTTTAATTTGTCTGGTTAGACTATCAGGGTTATGCTAACCTTGTAAAATGAAATGAGATTTTTTTCTCTCATCTCCAGGTTTCTAAAAGATTTTATGTAGGATTGGCATTATTTTTTACTTAAATATTAGATAGAATTATTCAATAAAGCAATCCGAGTTCAGAAACTTTTATGGTTCTTGTTCAGATTTGAATAAAGAATTCAATATTTAATTGACATAGGAGTATTCATAATGTTTTCAATAAACCTACTTTATTTCCATTTATTTTTAACTCCTGTTTTTATCTTTTTTTCCTTCTATCTAGTTGAGCTTACTTTGCTCTTCTTATTCTACAACATTAATATGAAAGCTTACATTATTGATTTTGGATCTTTGCTCTTTTCTGTCTTGTTTTCTAATTTAAATCCATGTCTCTCACTGTAAACACTGCTTTAGCTGTTTATCACAGAATTTTATATGTTTTACTTTCATTTTTATTCAGTTTAATATGTTTTCTAATCTACATTTACTTGGGGATTTCCATGTGATTTTTTTCTATTGATTTCTAGTATAACTCTGTTGTGGTCAGATACATCTTTTGAATGATTACAGTTCTTTTAAATTAATCAAGACTTGTTTATGGTCCATGCTATTATATCTCTTGGTACACTTTTCATATACTTGAAGACAATTTGGATTCTACTGTCATTGGGTGTACATTTTATAAATGTCAATTGGGTAAATTTATTGATAATGTTAAGAATTATTTATACTTACAGATTGCCTGTCTGCTTGTTTTTTCAATCACTGAGAGAAGAGTATTGAATTATCCAATTATAATTTTACATTTAGCTATTTTCCTTTTCAGTTCTGCCAGTTTTTGCCTCTTGTTTTTTGAAGTTCTGTTATTAGGTGCATACAAATTTATAATTTCTATGCCCTCTTGATCAGTTGACTCCATTATCATTGTGACATGCTTCTTTTTGTCCTAATTACATTCCTTGTTTCGAAGTCTACCTTATCTAATGTTAAAAACAGTATTCTTATGATTACAATTTTTGTGGTATATCTTTTTTGTCATTTCCTTATAATGTATCTATAACTTTACATTTTAAGTGGGTTTCTTGTAGACAGCATAAAGTTGGATCCTGCTCTTTATTTAAAGAAGTTTGTCAATCTCTGCATTTTAATTGGAGCATTTAAACTTTTATCTAATGTTATTATAGATATATTTCAGTTTTAATCTACCATATTTCTATTAATTTTCTATTTGTCTTTCCTCTTTTATTCTTTTTGTGACTTCTTTTATTTTAGTTGTGTATTTAAAAATATTTTGTGTTATTCTTCATTATTAGCTTATGCATTATAACCCTTTTTTTTTTTTATTTTTGAGACGGAGTCTCACTCTGTCGCCAGGCTAGAGTCCAGTGGCACAATCTCGACTCACTGCAACCTCCACTTCTCAGGTTCAAGTGATTCTCCTGCCTCAGCCTCCTGAGTAGCTGGGACTACAGGCATGCACCACCACGCACAGCTAATTTTTGTATTTTTAGTAGAGACGGGGTTTTACCATGTTGGCCAGAATGGTCTCAATCTCTTGACCTCGTGATCCGCCCACCTCAGCCTCCCAAAGCGCTAGGATTACAGGCATGAGCCACCGCGCCTGGCTGATTTACTTTTAAGAAGTTGTTCTAGGGAGCTTTGCTCAATCTGAGTTTGAAGGCAGAATTAAACTAATACCCTAAGGCATCTATTGTATATAATGAACTATTTTCTTTCTTATGTGCCCAATATGGAGTTATTTATTGACCATCCTTTGGAAAATAAATAAAACAGTCACTCACATGGTTTTCTGTGCCCAGTGGTCCACATGAGAGCCTAGGGTTATTATAGATGATCTAAGAAAGTTGGCAATATGCTTATCATGTTTACCTTCAAATAACATTATACCTCTTCACACATAAGAACCCCAACCCACCTATACTTCTACCTGTCCTCTCCTCTCCTTTTAAAAGACTGTATGTTTTGCTTATATATATATGCAAATATATATATACATTTATTATATACATAATAAATGCATGTTCTTTTTTTGCTTTAAATAGTAAATTTTGTTTTAAAGAAATTAAAAATTAGAAGCAATTTATTTTATATTTCCTCATATGTTTACAAATTTTCAAGCTCTTCATTCTTTTTTTGTGGACTCATTTTCATTGATTCTTTTCTTTCTGTTTGAAGAACTTTCTTTAACGTATCCTATAGTGCATACCCACTGGCATTAAATTCTCCCAGCCTTTTTTTTTTCTGAATGTGTTTATTTTGCTCTCATTTAAAAAATATATTCTCTAGGTATAAAATTCTAGATTGTCAGTTTTTTCTTCATCATTTTAAAGTCATGGCTCCAATGACTGCTGCACACATATTGGTGTCTCTGTAAGTAATGTATCTTATTTTTCTCTGGATGCTTTTAAGTATTTATATTTATCATTACCCTTTGGCAATTTAAATATGAAGTGTGTGATATACTTTTCTTGTATTTATTCCACTTGAGTTTGCTGAAATTCTTGCAAGTAGGTTTATACTTTTCATTAAATTTATTAAAATTTTAGCTTTTGTAAAAGTATTTTTCCATTTTCCCCATCTTTCCTCTCCTCTGGAACTCCATACCTCCTAGTTAGACCTCTTAGTTTTATGCTTCAGGTCATTGAGTTTTTGTTTATTGTTTTCCTATTTTTTCTCTCTCTGAACTCCATTTGGATATTCTTTTTTGGATATGTTTTCAAATTTACTATTTTTAAATTTTCATTTCATAGTATCTGATCTGCTCTTAATATCATCCAAAGAAATTGTTTTTCAAATATTGTTTTTTATTGTTAGATATTTCATTTGATTATTTTCTACATTTAATTTCTCTCTCATGTGTAAATTTTCCTTAATATTAAGAAATAGTTATAATATCTGCTTTTACATTCTTATTTAAGCAGATATTATATTATATTATATTATATTATTCTATCTTTTCTGCCATTTCAGGGTTGGTTTTTATTGACTGATATTTTCCCTGGGTAACATATTTTCCAGTTTCTTTTCCATTTGTAATGATATTTTATTAGATATTGGAAATTGTGAATGTTACATTGTTGAGTATCTTGATTTTGTTTTGTTCTTTTAAATTATATTGATTATTTTTCCCCAGCTGTTGGTTGGTTAACTGCAGCTTAGTTTGATCCTTTTGAAGCTTTTAAAGAAGTTTTAATAGAATGAGTCTCGAGTAGCCCTTTTTCTAGAGGTAGATTAGTCCTACTACTTGCACAGAACTTCTAGATCTTTACTGATTACTCCAAGTGGTCAATGAGGAATCTCTGCTCCATCAGAACTCAAATGTTTCCCATTTCTGGGTGGGCTCTAGGAATAGTTGAACTGACAGCCACCTGATTATTCCGTGTTCAATTTTGTGTCATTTCACCCCGCATAGGTATGTCTTAATATTCAGTGGATTCAAGAAGATTTCTGTAAATATTTCTGGAGCCCCCGCTTTTTCCTATAACTACCTCTTCTCTATAACTCTACTGCATATGTTCCAGCCTCTGGAGTCTGCTTGAAATCTGATCTTTGCGTCCTTGATTTGGTGAGGACTACTGTGTTCTGCTTGGGATCTATTTTCCCTCTCTGATGTACAGAACGTGGCTCTAGGCAGAAAGCCAGGGCAAACATAAGGCTAACCTCATTTGCCTGCAGTCATAGTGATTGCAGTCCTGTATCATCTCTTTTTCTAGGTCTGAAAGTGTTTTTTTGTATCTTTTCCCAGTTTTCTTTTTGTTTACAGTGGGAGACTACATGTGGGCTCATTGTTTCATAACTAGATGCAGAAGTCTCCCAATTTATTAATTTTTGATTGAAGATAAAACTTTTTATGACCAAAATATGCCTATCTATTGTTTTAGGCACTATCTCCCTAATACCACTTGATGGATGACATTAATAATTGAAAGATTTACTGGTGAACATGCAATCAATGTGCAAGGAGATAGAGTTTTTTAAATTATTTTACTTTAAGTTCTGGGATACATGGGCAGAACGTGCAGGTTTGTTACATGAGTATACATGTGCCATGGTGGTTTGCGGCACCCATGAACCCATCATCTAGGTTTTTGTCCTAATGCTCTTCCTCTCTTGCCCCACCCCCACAACAGGCCCTGGTGTGTCATGTTCCCCTCCCTATGTCCATGTGTTCTCATTGTTCAATTCGCACTTATGAGTGAGAATATGCAGTGTTTGGTTTTCTGTTCTTGTGTTAGTTTGTGAGAATGATGGCCTCCAGCTTCATCCATGTCCCTTCAAAGGACATGAACTCATTCATTGTATGACTGCATAGTATTCCATGGTGTATATGTGCCACATTTTCTTTATCCAGTCTATCACTGGTGGGCATTTGGGTTGGTTGCAAGTCTTTGCTATTGTAAATAGTGCTGCAATAAACATATGTGTGCATGTGTCTTTATAGTAGAATGATTTATAATCCTTTGGGTATATACTCAGTAAGGGGATTGCTTGGTCAAATGGTATTTCTAGTTCTTGATCCTTGAGGAATCACCACATTGTCTTCCGCATGGTTGAACTAACTTACATTCCAACCAACAGTCAATCAAAAGCATTGAGATAGAGATTCTTAAGCGTTTGCTTGGCTTGGCCTCAGGAAAGTCTTAACACTGGCAGTCCCACAGATATACTCCTTCCTTCGAAGTAGCCCCACCTCAGTTTAATGCAACTGCCTTGTCAGTGGATAGTGTCAGATATCTTGGAGTTATCCTTGACTTCTGATCTTGTCTTTGATGGTACAATTGAAATTCTGTCAATTGTGTCATCAAAATAGCATCTTGTCCCATTTCCATTACCATCATGCTGGTGCCTGTTCTAGCTCCCTAACTGTTTTCTCTGGGATTTTTCTTACAACCTGCACCCACACCTCTCCCCAGTTTGATGTTGGCAGAGTAGCTAAAATACTGCTTTAAAAATGTAAGTCATATATAGTAATGTTCTGTTCTAAACTTTAATAATTTTTTATCTTACCCAGAGTCAAAACCAGATTCCTTAGAATAGCCTACAAGGCCCTATACAAAGTAGTCTCAGTTAATTTCTCTTTTCCTGGTACTCATTGCATTCCAGGCATAGTAGTGCCCTTGATTTTTCTCAAACACACTAGGCATGATTCCACCTCAGGAATGTTTTCTGTGATTCCACCTCTTAGCATTACTCTTCTCTTTACTTTTTTATTTTTATTTTTTAGAGCCAGGGTCTTGTAGTTTCAAAGGTGACTTTAAATAAAACTTTGCTCATGTTAAGAGAAGCGATGTGGATACCTGATGCAAAAATAAAAAACAAACCAGGTGCAGTGGTGTGCACCTGCAGTCCCAGCTACTAGGGAGCCTGAGGCAGGTGGCTCTCTTGAGCCCAGGAGTTTGAATTCAGGCTGGACAACATAGCAAGACCCTGCCTTGTCACCTATTTTTTATCTTGCCTTGAATGTATTTTTTTTCCTGTTTTAATCATTGTAACATCTCTGTTGCCAAAAACACCATTGGGCATACGGTCTAACTCCAGATATATTTGTTGGATAAGTGAATACTTGAAGTCAGATATCTTAATGACTAGTTACTTGTGCCTTCTAGACTCAGTATTTCTTTGCCTTTGGCAATGTTGTACAAGATTCCAGATTCCTGATCTTGACTCCTTTTTTTTTTTTTCTCTCTAGACTTCACATAGGCCACCATGTTGCCATGTTCTCTTTTTTGCAGGCAGGTTACATAATACAGATGACTAGCCTGGAGCTTTCTTTTGTATTCAAACATATATTTCTGGCTTTGCACAGTTGTTATTTTGTCTGAACTTCGAAGTTCCCAAATAGACTCAGGGATCTATCTCTTGTAGTGGCTTATTTCTACTGAGAACTAATTTTGTCATTTGTGGTTTATTTCTGAAAGTTTCATTCTCAAATGGCAACATTAATTTAAATTCCAGGGCAACTCATTGTAGTCCCTAGGAACCACTTTGAAAGTGTTAAAAATGAGTTCAGTTCAGCTGAGAAGATTTAAATTCATATAATCAGCGTTTATTCCCTGCCACCTCCTTATTATAAATGGTGGTTAGGTGTATAGGCCAACCCACAAAAGCCTATTTTATTCACATGAAGCTGATCTGTAGTTCTAATACTACCATTGTACATACCTGATTTATAATCTTTTTTACACAAGAAAATGTATCGAAGTTTTAAACAGCCGTGATGGCTATTTGGCTGCAAGTTCCAACACATTAATCTACAAACATTTTTAAAACATAGCTTGATGACAAGTTTACATCTACTTGGAAATATTTCATCATCTTGGATAAAATATGACATTCGATGTTGATTAAATATTGTATACAGCAATTGGAAATTAGAAAGTGTTAAGTAGTCACATTTAGACTTAATTTTATAGTTTTTTCATCTATCTTTTATACAACATTTTGGCCCTTCCTTTCAGTCTGTATACCGTATTTTCCTCTTTTCTGTCTATATCTTCTGGTTAGTAAATCACATATTGAGACTGACTGTTTTAGCATTTAAAAGTTTAGCAATTTTGTTAAACAAAAAGACAGAAAATTTACTGCTGAATGGCAAGGGACCATTCTGGTGGCCTTTGTTTTGTTTTAATAGGGTGGTTGAGAGAAAAAAAGATGCAGTTCAGCTCTGAACCATTCTGTAATAGACCATTATTAAGAGAGATGGGAAGAGGGAGCCCTTTACTTCCATTTCAGAGATGTTTGCACTTGGAAGTATATGAATTCTTATGTTTTCTTCGGAGCTGTTTGAACTTTATTATATAATGTACACATTGGCATCCAATTATTCACCTTCAGATATTTGTGTGTTGCCCAAATATTCTAGCACAAATGCTAGAAGTGCCTAGCATTTCTCAAACTGACACCTATGGGTTCCCTGGATCTTTGAGAACTTATTTTTGGTTATCCATGAGTACAGTAATAATGTTTAGATTTTCTATTTCATTATATAAAATAATTGATATAAGATATTCTAGATTATCTAGATGCCCCTTTTGCACTGGTTTACATTTACATTGGAACAAAGTAAAGGTCAATTGATATCACAAAAACTAATGCAGAGTTTAGTCTTAGTTTAAATTGAGAAAATAGTTGGGAGAATTGAACAAGCATAAGACTCTGGTACAAAGATGTAAAATACAAAAGAATATGCATCATGCCACATTTACCTTTTAGGTGAATGTATTGAGTAATTAGGTAGATACCATCTTTGTATAAATTACAACACTTCTTTCTTTTGTTTTGCAAAGTTATGAAAATATTTTCATTAATGATATTTTAAAATTTGGTATTCAGTTTTGTTGTAGAAAGATGTGGACCGTCATATAAAATGAACGATTGGTCGTCAAAAGCGAGCTTGCTGTAAAAAAAGGAAAATAACAAAAATTAATTAATGGTCAATATATGCTCAAAACAACAATGATTAGACCAATGGTAACTGACATACAATGTACAAATACTGTAGATAAATACAGCTTTCCACTACCATACTCATTGTTGGCAACTATCTTTTAGAAAAAAACATTATATATCACATTAAATTAATGAAGTTAAATTAATTGCTTGTTAAGAAATTTCTCCACTCTTCTTATTTCCCTATAGAGAGATACACATTAGAAAAACACCTCTGACATCTTGCCCTACCCCTCGTTTTTGCCCATGCAGGAGTAGTGAATTGTGTGGTTGGAAGATGAAAACCACTGATCTATGTTCTTTGATTGGGTAGAGCTAATCTGGTGAAACACTGTAGGCATTATGAATTAAAACTCTCTCTCTGTTTTTTAAAATTTTTCTTTAAGTTCTTGGATACATGTGCAGAACATGCAGGTTAGTTACATAGGTATACATTTGCCATGGTGGTTTGCTGCACCTATCAACCTGTCATCTAGGTTTTAAGCTCCACATGCATTAGCTATTTGTCATAATACTCTCCCTCCCCTCACCGCTCACCCTCTGACAGCTCTGGTGTGTGATGTTCCCCTCCCTGTGTCCATGTGTTCTCATTGTTCAACTCCCACTTGTGAGTGAGAACATGCAGTGTTTAGTTTTCTGTTCCTGTGTTAGTTTGCTGAGAAGGATGGTTTCCAGCTTGATCATGCCCTTGCAAAGGACATGAACTCATCCTTTTTTATGGCTGCATAGTATTCCATGGTGTACATGTGCCACATTTTCTTTATCCAATCTATCACTGATGGGCATTTGGGTTGGTTCGAAGTCTTTGCTATTGTGAACAGTGCTGCAATAAACATACGTGTGCATGTGTCTTTATAGTAGAATGATATATAATCCTTTGGGTATATACCCAGTAATGGGATTGCTGGGTCAAATGGTATTTCTAGTTCTAGATCCTTGAGGAATTGCCACACTGTCTTCCACAATGGTTGAACTAATTTACACTCCCTCCAACAATGTAAAAGCTTTCCTATTTCTCCACATCCTCTCCAGCACCTGTTGTTTCCTGACTTTTTAATGATCACTATTGTAACTGTCATGAGATGTTATCTCATTGTGGTTTTGATTTGCATTCCTCTAATGACCAGTGAAGATAAGCTCTTTTTCATATGTTTGTTGGCTGCAAAAATGTCTTCTTTTGAGAAATGTCTGTTCATATCCTTCACCCACTTTTTGATGGGGACATTTGTTTTTTTCTTGTAAATTTGTTTAAATTCTTTGTAGATTCTGGATCTTAGCCCTTTGTCAGATGGATAGATTGCAAAAATTTTCTCCCATTCTGTAGGTTGCCTGTTCAGTCTGATGATAGTTTCTTTTGCTGTGCAGAAGTGTTTTAGTTTAATTAGATCCCTTTTGTCAATGTTGACTTTTGTTGCAATTGCTTTTGGTGTTTTAGTCTTGAAGTCTTTGCCCTTGCCTAGGTCCTGAACGGTATTGCCTAGGTTTTCTTCTATGGTTTTTATGGTTTGGGGTTTTACATTTAAATCTTTAATCCATCTTGAGTTAATTTTTGTATGAGGTATAAGGAAGGAGTGCAGTTTCTCTCTTCTGCATACAGCTAGTGAGTTTTCTCAGCACCATTTATTAAATAGAGAATCCTTTCTCCATTGCTTGTTTTTGCCAGGTTTGTTGATGATCAGATGGCTGTAGATGTGTGGTGTTATTTCTGAGGTCTCTTTTCTGTTCCACTGGTCTTTATATCTGTTTTGGTACCAGTACCATGCTGTTTTGGTTACTGTAGCCTTGTAGTTAGTTTGAAGTCAGGTAGTGTGATGCCTCTAGCTTTGTTCTTTTTGCTTAGGATTGTCTTAGCTATACAGGCTCTTTTTTGGTTCCATACAAAATTTAAAGTAGTTTTTTTCTAATTCTGCAATGAAGGTCAATGGTAGCTTGATGGGAATAGGATTCTATCTCTAAATTACTTTGGGCCATAAGGCCATTTTCATGATATTGATTTTTCCTATCCATGAGAGTGGAATATTTTTCCATTTGTTTGTGTCCTCTTTTGTTTCCTGGAGCAGTGGTTTGCAGTTCTTCTTGAAGAGGTCCTTCATATCTCTTGTAAGTTGTATTCCTAGGTATTTTATTCTCTTTGTAGCAATTGTGAATGGGAGTTCACTCATGATTTGGCTCTCTGCTTGCCTATTATTGGTGCATAAGAATGCTTATGATTTTTGCACATTGATTTTTGTATCCTGAGATGTTTCTGATGTTGCTTATCAGCTTAAGGAGTTTTTGGGCTGAAATGATGGGTTTTCTAAATATAGAATAATGTCATCTGCAAACAGAGACTGTTTGACTACCCCCCTTCCTATTTCAATAAGCTTTATTTCTTTCTCTTGCTTGATTGACCTGCCCAGAACTTCCAATACTATATTGAATTGTAGTGGTGAGAGAGGGCATCCTTGTCTTATACCAGTTTTCAAAGGGAATGCTTCCATCTTTTGCCCATTCAGTATGATATTGGCTATGGGTTTGTCATAAATAGCTCTTATTATTTTGAGATATGTTCCATCAATACCTAGTTTATAGAGAGTTTTTAGCATGAAAGGGTGTTGAATTTTATTGCAGGCTTTTCCTGCATCTATTGAGATAATAATATGGTTTTTGTTATTATTTCTATTTATGTGATGGATTACATTTATTGATTTGCATATGTTGAACCAGCCTTGCATCCTAGGGATGAAGCTGACTTGATCGTGGTAGATAAGCTTTTTGATGTGCAACTGGATTCGGTTTGCCAGTATTTTATTGAGGATTTTTGCATCAATGTTCATCAGGGATATTGGCCTGAAATTTTCTTTTTTTGTTGCGTTTCTGCCAGGTTTTGTTATCAGGGTGATGCTGGCCTCATAAAATGAGTTAGGGAGGAGTCCCTCTTTTTTTGTTGTTTGGAATAGTTTCAGAAGGAATGGTACTAGCTCCTCTTTGTACCTCTGGTAGCATTTAGCTGTGAATCCGTCTGGTCCTGGACCTTTTTTTGGTTGGTATGCTATTAATTACTGCCTCAATTTCAGAGCTTGTTATTGGTCTATTCAGGGATTCGGCTTCTTCCTGGTTTAATCTTGAGAGGGTGTATGTGTCCAGGAATTAATACATTTCTTCTAGATTTTCTAGTTTATTTGCATAGAGGTGTTTATAGTATTCTTTGATGGTAGTTTGTATTTCTGAGGGATCAGTGGTGATACATCCTTCATCATTTTTTATTGTGTCTATTTGATTCTTCTCTCTTTTCTTATTATTCTGTGTAGTGGTCTATCTATTTTGTTAATGTTTTCAAAAAACCAGCTCCTGGATTCATTGATTTTTTGGAGGGTTTTTGTGTCTCTGTCTTCTTCAGTTCTGTTTGCTCTTCCTTCTCTAGTTTTTTTAATTGTGATGTTAGGGTGTCAATTTCATATCTTTCCAGTTTTCTGATGTGGGCACATTTAGTGCTATAAATTTCCCTCTTAACACTGCTTTAGCTGTGTCTCAGAGGTTCTGGTATGTTGTCTCTTTGTTCTCACTGTTTTCAAATAACTTCTTTATTTCTTCCTTAATTTCATTATCTACCCAGTTGTCATTCAGGAGCAGGTTGTTCAGTTTCCATGTAGTTGTGCAGTTTTTTTGTGAGTTTCTTAATGCTGAGTTCTAATTTGATGGCACTGTGGTCTGAGAGACTGTATGTTATGATTTATGTTCTCTAGCATTTGCTGAGGAGTGCTTTACTTCCAATTATATGGTTAATTTTAGAATAAGTGCGATGTGTTGCTGAGAAGAATGTATATTCTGTTGATTTGGGATGGAGAGTTCTGTAGATGTGTATTAGATATGCTTCTTCCAGAGCTGAGTTCAAGTCCTGAATATGCTTGCTAATTTTCTGTCTTGTTGATCTGTGTAATATTGACAGTGGGGTGTTAAAGTCTCCCACTATTATTGTGTGGGAGTCTAAGTCTCTTTGTAGGTCTCTAAGAACTTGTTTTATGAATCTGGGTGCTCCTGTATTCAGTGCATGCATATTTAGGATAGTTAGCTCTTCTTGTTGCATTGATCCCTTTACCATTACGTAATGCGTTTCTTTCTCTTTTTTGATCTTTGTCAGTTAAAGTCTGTTTTATCAGAGACTAGGATTGCAACCCCTGCTTTTTTGGCTTTCCATTTGCTTGGTAAATATTCCTCCTTCTCTTTATTTTGAGCCCATGTATGTCTTTGCCACGAAATGGGTCTCCTGAATGCAGCACACTGATGGGTCTTTATCCAATTTGCCAGTCTGTGTCTTTTAATTGGGGCTTTTAGCCTATATACATTTAAGATTAATATTATTATGTGTGAATTTGAGCCCCATATTTCTTGGAGGCTTTGTTCATTCCCTTTCATTCTTTTTACTGTAATCTTGTCTTTATACCTTATTTCAGTAAGTTGATCTTCAATCTCTGATATTCTTCCTTCTGCTTGATCAATTCAGGTATTGATACTTGTGTATGCTTCACGAAGTTCTTGTGCTGTGTTTTTCAGCTCCACCGAGTCATTTATGTTCTTCTCTAAACTGGTTATTCTAGTTAGCAGTTCCTGTAACCTTTTATCAAAGTTCATAGCTTCCTTGCCTTGGGTTAGAACATGCTCCTTTAGCTCAGAGGAGTTTGTTATTACCCACCTTTTGAAGCCTACTTCTGTCAATTCTTCAATCTCATTCTCCATCCAGTTTTGTGCCCTTGCTGGAGAGGAGTTGCGATCATTTGGAGAAGAGGCATTCTGGTTTTTGGAATTTTCAGCATTTTTGCCCTGGTTTTTCCTCATCTTTGTTGATTTATCTACCTTTGATCTTTGAGGCTGATGACCTTTGGATGGGTTTTTGTGCGGGGGTCCTTTATGTTGATGTTGATGTTTATGTTGCTTTCTGTTTGTTAGTTTTTCTTCTAACAGTCAGGCCCCCTCTTCTGCAGGTCTGCTGCAATTTGCTGAAGCTCCACTCCAGACCCTGTTCACCTGGGTATTACCAGTGGAGGCTGCAGAACAGTAAAGATTGCTGCCTGCTCCTTACTCTGGAAGCTTCATCCCAGAGGGGCACCAGCCTGATGCCAGCTGGAACTCTCCTGTATGAAGTGTCTGTCGACCCCTGTTGGGAGGTCTCTCCCAGTTAGGAGGCACGGGGTTCAGGGATCCACTCTAGGAGGCAGTCAGTCCCTTAGCAGAGCTCAAACACCGTGCTGGGAGAATCCACCTCATCAGTATCAGCTGCTCTCCTCAGAGCCCACAGGCAGGAACGTTTAAGTCCACTGAAGCTGCGCCCACAACCGCCCCTTCCCCCAGGAGCCATGTCCCAGGGAGATGGGAGTTTTATCTATAAGCCCCTGTATGGGGCTGCTGCCTTTCCTTCAGAGATGCACTGCCCAGTGAGGAGGAATCTAGAGAGGCAGTCTGCCCACAGCTGCTTTGCCATGCTGTGGTGAGTTCTGCCTAGTCCAAACCTACCAGCCTCCTTAGCACTGTCAGGGGAAAACCGCCTACTCAAGCCTCAGTAATGGCGGATGTCCTTCCCCACACCAAGCTCTATGGTCCCAGGTAGACTTCAGAGTGCTGTGCCGTTAGTGAGAATTTCAAGCCAGTGGTTCTTAGCTAGATGGGCTCTGTGGGAGTGGGACCCGCTGAGTGAGACCACTTGGCTCCCTGTCTTCAGCCCCCTTTCCAGGGAAGTGAATTGCTCTGTCTTGCTGGGGTTCCAGGTGCCTCTGGGGGGTGGCGGGGAGGGGAGGGGAGGAACAAAACTCCTGCAGCTAGCTTAGTGTCTGCCCAAACAGCTGCCCAGTTTTTTGCTTGAAACCCAGGGCCCTGGTGGTGTAGGCACATGAGGTAATCTCCTGATCTGCAGATTGCAAAAACTATGGGAAAAGCGTGCTAGGTGGGCCCAATAGCACAGTCCCTCACGGCTTCCTTTGGCTGAGGTAGGGAGGTCCCTGGCTGTTTGCATTTCCCAGGTGAGGCATGCCCCACTCTGCTTCTGCTCTTCCTCCGTGGGCTGCACCCATTGCCTAAACAGTCCCAATGAGATGAACTGGGTACCTCAGTTGGAAATGCAGAAATCACGCAACTTCTTTGTTGGTCTCCCTGGGAGCTCAGACTGGAGCCGTTTTTATTCGGCCATCTTGCCAGATCCTCCTGAATTCAGTCCCTCTCTGATACAGTCTTTCTCTCTGTCTCCCTCTCTCCCTCCATCCCAACTCCACCACCCCCACTCCTTGAAACTAGTACAAAGCTCTGATCCTGTGTGAATTGTAGCTGCTCTGTAGACCTAAACTTTCTATAAGTAGGCTGTCCCAAGATTTGGACTCGGACAGGTTATCCTCACACCAAGCCATGTTCTTCAACAGCTTTATCAGTATGAAAGATGATATTTTGCTCTCCACTTGTCTCTTTCATTTGATTAGTTCCAATCTTGGGAAAGGGAGGGGTTAATCATTATTGAGCCTCTAAAACTCCAACTTTTTTTTTATTTTGTAAATTTGCCTTAGTTTTATGGTTATATGGGCACTAGATGCAAATAATTGTATTTATTTTTATGTTACATAAATGTAAGTACAATTATAATGAAAATAATTTAAGCCAACACCAAAAACCCCTGAACATGTTTTTCTTTTAATATGCATCCATATAACATGTAAGTAGGAGAAAATTTGAGGCAGCAGAATTGTCACTAACACACTCAAACTCAATCAAAATAAAGATTAAAGCAATTTCCCCAGAAACTTTTAAAAAAATAAAGTCAGCAACAACAACAATTTTACAATATGGTAATGATGATAAGTGGTTTTTGAATTTCCCTGTATTCACCACAAAAAGTGAAAAAGAAACTTTTTTTTTGCTTTTAGACAATATGTGTGACAAAACTAACTGACAAAATATGAATCCTAAAATATTACTAGGTCACGTAAAGCTACCAACAGCAATAATACCTGCATCATAGCAACCTCTAGATATGACTACCCATTTCCTGGAAAGACAACAGAGGAACATGTTATACCTCTCTATAGAAATGCAGTCAGCATATTCCAGTCAATGGGAAGAACCCTGCTGGAGAAATGGTATCTTTAACACATAACTAAAAGAGTAAAAAAGGATTGATTAGAGAGACTTCCAGGGAATATTGGCATATTGAGCAGCTGCAATGTATGACTCATATTTGAATCTTGACTAAAATTATAAAAATTGTAAGAAAAGTTAGAAAACGTGAATATAACTGAGTGTTTGCTTTATTAATCAAAACTTTTTTTGATGTGATAATGGTATTGTGGTGTTTTAACAAAGAATTTCTAACTTTTAGAGGTGTTTAATGAAATATTTACATGTAAAATAATATGGTGCCTTGAAAGGAGGATATAAAATGAGGTATAGATGGAATAAGACTGATAACAAGTAAATAATTATTGAAGCTGGATTATTGAGGTACATTATAGTATTCTCTTTAGTGTGGAATATGTCTGAAATTTCCTATAATAAAAATTTTAAAAGCCCCTTAGGAACACAAAGGGACATTTAAATGAGACGATAAGGACCAAATGATGGACTATTAGACTTCAAAAAAAGTGTTTTCATAGTTCAAAGAAAAGGAAGTCCAAATAAGATTTTGAAATCCTAGGTATCTAGTAAAATTATTTCCAATTCTGTTCAAATATTAGGTGTCCCTAACAATCTACAATAACAGGTAAGAGCAAAGTTATTTCTTTTAACTTTGGAATGTATTTCCTTCTTACAGTTAAAAAGGCTTATCTGATAGATTGACAATTTCCCTAAACATTTATCAAATCATAGCTTTACAATACGTGTGGCTGAGAATGATTCACTTTAGCCCTTTTGGGAGCTGGGGCATCTGAGCTCCTGAGCTAAGACTTCCAGCCTCTAGCTGTGTGCAGCCTTGTCTTTTTTATCTTAATGAACTATACAGATATTGTCATTTCTAAATCCCTGTTATGCCCTAAAAATGCATGGGAAGCACTAGACTATACTATAAATCTGACTTGTGATTCCCTCTACTTAGGAACTATTCTCTATGCCCTACATCATTGTTCAGAAGGTTAGTGTCTTTTCCCAAACAGAGATACACACTTCAGATAGAAGCAGATGCCAATCTGTCAACTAACATGTATTTATTGATTTCCCAGACACAGTGGGAAGGGAAGATACATACTTGATCTTACCATCTGTTCTCTCTAAAAATCCCTTTATTTCTCCACTGGCTTTGATATTACAGAGTCACTAGTGCACTCGAGAGTCTACGGTCAGTTAATAGACATTTAATGAGTGGATAACAAATATCTGTCTAAGTGTTGGATTCTAGAGCTCAAGAGGTAAATATGTAAGACATGGTTCTTGCTATCCTTTTCTTAGTTCTCAGTCTCTTTGCTCTCATTGCTAACTTTGACACCAATGAACTCTACCTTGTAGAAACTTTCTAATTCTTAAGTTTCCAGATGGCTCCCTATGCTCTCTCTGCTCCAAGCTGATTGCATCATTCTAAAAATTCACTGATTGATGCTGCCTCTGATGAAATATAGGCATTTCTATCATCATCTCTCATTTATTTAACAGTATTGATATTACTACTATGTTCCGGGCTCAGGGAACCCATCCGTCCAGCAGGAGACAGAGACTGCTAAAGACTAGTAAAGTACAAGAAAGCGCAATTAATTGAGAGAGTTCTGAAGGACACTGTCTGGTGCTAGGGAGGCACTTCATAGAGAATGTGAAAATTAGCCAGAGTTTCAAAGGATGACATACTGAGTTGAGTTGACGTTTTATTTCCACTGTTCCTCCTTCTTCCATATAGCTGGGATTAGCCATAGAGCATTCACCTATTTATTCATTCATTGAATAAATACTTATCAAGCACCAACTATGTGAGAGGGACTCTGCTAGGCAGATTCAGCAGGTGGATGGTCACCAAACTGGCAAAGGGACTGTATAGCAGGGGGCCCCCAACCCCCAGGCTGCAGACCAGTAGTGGTCTGTGGCCTGTTAGGAATTGGGCCACGCAGCCGCAGGTGAGCTGTGGCTGAGCCAGCGAGCATTACCGCCTGAACTCTGCCTCCTGTCAGATCAGAGGTGGCATTAGGTTTTCATAGGAGTGCAAACCCTCTTGTTAACTGTGCATGCGAGGGATCTAGGTTGCACACTTTTTATGAGAATCTAACTAATGCCTGATGATCTGATGTGGAACAGTTTCATCCTGAAACCACCTCCCTCCCACCACCCCGTCTGTGGAAAAATTGTCTTCCACAAAACTGGTCCCTGGTGTCAAAAAGGTTGGGGACCACTGCCCTATAGGGAATACAGATAATCTGGGTCAGTGACAGGGAGTCACTAATACAGGATCAGTCCAGACAGAGGAATGGGAAATCTAGTCTGATTCTTGGAAGATATTGTATCCTCAGGAATTTGTGACAGTTGTATAATCAGACAATTTTGGAAGTGTAGGCATGTAATGCAGTTAAATCATTGTCCGTTTCAGATACAATCTATCCCATTTACATTAGTTCACATCTCAAATATGTTATCTTGAGCAAAGTTATCCATTCTGTGTCCTTGTTTCCATATTTGTAAAATGAAATAAAGGATAGCTACCCTGTAAGTTCTTGAGGGATATTAAATATAATTTATATCATTCAAGAATTTTTGTCACCTGAAAGTGCTCAATAAATGCAATTGTTTAAAGTTATGGGATTTTGAACTAATATTGTTGTAGCATTTCCTGAAAGGATGAAACAGCAAGGTATGTGTGTATGTATCAGTGTGTGTGTATTATAGACACAAGGTGTACAAGACTTCACAGACTGTCACAGAAAGAATTACTTTGTGAACTACTGATAGTAATTAATCATCATGAATTTAAATATTAGTTGTCAGTTCTCAATGACAAGAATAGCATTCAGGAGGGTTAGAATTCCACTCTGTTTTTCTGAGAGGGAGGCTGGATGGTTTGCGTACATTTGTTAGTAGCTGAGTAAAATTCACCCCTTATAATCTGTGAGGTGATCTTTGTATTAGTCTATTTGCTTTAATTTTTACTGACCAGAGTGCTCGAAAAAGCTGCACTTATTACTTGGCTATACCATGTTTTTTTTTTTTTTTTAAATGGCACTTTTGTATCTTTTAGTAGGAAAGATGAAATTTCAGTTTATTTTGGTTTGTAACTTGTAACTTTTTTCATCAACTAACAGAAATCCTCTCATAAGGCAATTATAGCCTTTAGTCATTATTGCCATAACTTCCACTGCTTTCATTAGAGATGGTGAAAAATATGAGTGTGGTTGTGGAAAGGGTTTGAGAACTAAGACAGCTCACATATGTCATAAGATTAATTTTAGACTAGATATTTTTTCCATTCAATGCTCACTTACTTTCTCCATTTTTTACAGTATCTTGCTAAGATTTAAAATATCCAAGAGATTTTCACCCAGAGAGTATTGTTTCCCAAGAGGGTTAGTTCTTATGCATTTATATTCTCCAAGCTGAATAAATTGCAGAGCTAGGCCAAGAAATGTGTAAAAGGTTTGCATAACCTAACCATGTCTCCAGAAATAACATATTCATTCTTAGATGTTATTTTTGTCTTTAAATCATGTCTGGATGCTCACAACAGCACTATTGAGCATAAAGTGTATCATTTCTCCAGTCTTTCATTAATCCCCCCTTTGCTTCCTTGCTACCAGCCAAAAAACAAACCAGGAAACAAACACACTAACTAAACCAAAATTTTAAAGAATAGGAAGGCCAAAAATTACTTTCTGCTTAACATACATCAAAATTATTGAGGTTTTTTTGAGGTCTCATTGTAAAAATGAGATAAAAACAAACAAATTAATACCTTTCCATCTGTGTGCATTGATGGCACTCCTTAATAAAAAGTCTTTGTGACTAACAAGAAAATTAGCAAAAGAGTTATAATACAGTATTCGTCTTTCAAATCACCAAGAACCAAAGTTTTTAGTGAGAAGAGGGTTACAACCTTTTTTCCCATGTGCATTGGATCCTTTAAGTAAATTATCAGCAGTACGACAAATATCTTATTATTACTATATGGGTGTGACCAAGCCTGTTCTTGTTTAATTTAGAGCTAAGCAGGATAGAGTATCAGAGAGTATAGTAATAGATAGCAACATGCTGTGACTTAGGTAGGTCCAGGTAATATTAGTAGTAATTTTAATGGTCTAAAAGCTAGGTAGATAAGAATGAGAGTATCTGAGTCAAGAGAGTTAGACACCAAATTACAAGTGCCAAAATTAGAGGAAGAATCGGTAAGACTGAAGTCTAAGGGCAGCACTTCAGCCCCAGGGTATGATCAACATTGGAATCTTGGGCAGAATATTTAGATCCAGGGACAGGGGATGATGACAGGGACCTAGTTAACAGAACCGGAATTCAAGGTAGAGATTTGCTTCTAAGGACAAGATAGATACTTGGCTATTAGGGTGAGTCCTAGAGTCAGAATCCTTCAAATGATGATTTAATTTGATCTATTTGAAGTATGCTTTAAATCTCTTCATGACTAAGGTCAGAATTGATCCAGGACCTTGGAGTGCTAGAGCAGGGCTTGCAAGTGAGAGTTAAGATGTAAACTTTTCCCATTTATTCTTCATTCCCTAGTGACACATAGTTCCTTTTTCTCTAATCTGAACTAGTCTGTTAGTTTAACTGTTGACTTAACTTACAGCATGGATTAAAGACAGGAATTCTAGTATTAAACAGATGCCCTTACTAGCTTTGGGACCCAGGTTAGCTTATTCAACTTCTCGAAGCCTCTGTTTCCTTATCTACAAAATGCAAATAAGAAAATTATTTCACAGCATTATTGTTAGCATTGATGTAAAACACTTGGCATAATGCCTGGCACATAGCTAATTAGAATTTGTACTTTATTTTTATTTCTAACTAACTACCAGCTATGAAAAGAAGACTTCAGTTGCCTGAAAGGTTGATACTTAGGCACAAGTTGACACACAACTTTCCATCGTCTGACCATGAATTGTGCAGGCTGCTCCTTCTGCCTCTTTCATTGTGTCTGTCTGCCTGGCTGACTTGTGTGACAGTCCCATAATAATTACCAATAAAAATCATGTAATAATGCTTGCCAAGAAGTATAATACATGAAATTCTATCTCTAGATGTCTACTTAATATATTAATCAATTTCACCTAAGCTTTGAATATGATTTTCAACTCTTGAATACAATATAATATGGAGTGCTTTTTTTGATGGATGTGATTCTTTTGTGAAAACTTAAGCATTGTACCAAGAATAAGATGTGAATGTGTTTTTTTAAAGAGTAGGTGAAGCTAAAAATTGTGCTCTAATGGTTACTATTTTGGTTTCATGCATGATTTTATGGCAAAAACCTACATAAATTGTGTATAAGTTATTCAATTTCTTCCTTTGGGCTTATCAAACTCACAGGTTTTTCCCCAAATTTATGTGTGCAGATATAGTCATATTTCAGGAAATGTGAAGTTTTAAAAATTTTCTTCCTGACTGCTCACCAAATTACTTAGATTTTTTCCTGAAATCATTCTCAGGAAAGTGGTCACATTTACGAGTGATAAAATTACATGTGCAATTTATTGAATAATTGTTAATAATTAATGACAAATAATGAACTGCAGTCAGGAGACAGATTCTGGCCTCAAATAATTTACAGTTCTTAAAATTATGAGTAGATACTTCTCGGTAGGGTCCATGTTTCAGTTGACACTGGGCTCACTCTGAGAACAGGAAGTAATCAGATTACAGTGATGGTTTAACGCTATCTTACTTAGAACTTAGATCAAAGAGTTACAGCAGCTTTATAATCCTCAGCACTCAATGAATAGATTGCCAAAGTAAATCTCAGTTTGTTTAATGTCTAGTGAAGCAGAGGAAAAAGCAGCTATTAAGCATCACAATTTTTAAAGGAGGACAGAATGACAGTGTTAATGGATGTGGAATTTTCTCTGTCCTCAGTCAGCATGCTTCATTGAATACTTATGGAATGAAAAGTACTTGGTGCAAACTACTGTACACTAAGCGTTGTGGTGGGATATAAAAAAGGTATAATAAAGGCATTTGTGTAGGACATTGCAGGTAAAGAAAATTCTTTCACATATATCATCTCATGTGATATTCACAACTTCCATGTGAGGAAAGAATATAGAGGTTATCATTTTTTCCCACTTTACTGATAAAACGACTGAGGATTTTGAGATTAATGATTTATTCAATGACCTGCAGAGCTAGCATTGGATCCACATCTTCATATGCAAATAAATATTCATTCATTCAAACATATTAATCTAGGGACTACTATGTGCCGAGTACTGGTGCTATGCCAAAACAAAAAGCCCCTGCTTTTCCAGAGCTCATATTCCACACGGGGAGGTAAAACTATAACAATTTCAAGTAAAAAATGCTGGGCTGTGGAGGGATGGTGCAGATGTAAGTAAAGCGTACTGACAATTCAGAAAAGGAAGTCCTTTTACTCTGGCAAGAAAGATAGGGATGTCTGCTAGATTTTGAAGTTGTGTGTAGTGGGAGTTCTTCAAAGGGAAGTTGGGACTGGCTCAAGCACAAGATAGAACTCGGGAAGTAAGATGAGTAGGGGCAGCAATGAAACGTGACGGGAAAGAAAGGTTGGGGATTATGTCCCAAAGAGCCAGATACATTTGTTTGAACTTTCTGTGGTAGGGATCACTGAATATTTTTAGGTATCAGAATGATCACCAGAAAATAAGACCAAGATGGTAGAGTGTGATATGTAGATATAAAGTGTGAGATTGGAGACAAGAGCCAGTTTTTTAAGGACCAGTTGGTTTAAAGCTTTTATCTTCTACAATTATGTTGTACAATGCAGTTATTACAATAATCATCACATACTTTCCTCAGTTACTTCTTTGAAATATAAAAAAGACATTTAAAAATGTTTGGGAAATTAATGAAGAATTTAATAAAAAGTAACCCTTTTAGTTGAGTATATGGAATGAACAATTCTCTGGTTACCAAGATCATTGTCTAAGACCAACATTTTATGAAAACGTGGAATTCTACATATATGTGTTAGGGCTTGAAATATATTTCATAAATAGAGGTAGAGATTTTTAAAACAATTCTGATTATTTTCCTTATCTATAGTTTGTTCAAACACATTCTTTGAAAGATTTTTTTCGGCTTAGGATTGACTTGGTGATGCGGGCTCTTTTTTGGTTCCATATGAACTTTAAAGTAGTTTTTTCCAATTCTGTGAAGAAAGTCATTGGTAGCTTGATGGGGATGGCATTGAATCTGTAAATTACCTTGGGCAGTATGGCCATTTTCACGATATTGATTCTTCCTACCCATGAGCACGGAATGTTCTTCCATTTGTTTGTATCCTCTTTTATTTCCTTGAGCAGTGGTTTGTAGTTCTCCTTGAAGAGGTCCTTCACATCCCTTGTAAGTTAGATTCCTAGGTATTTTATTCTCTTTGAAGCAATTGTGAATGGGAGTTCACTCATGATTTGGCTCTCTGTTTGTCTGTTGTTGGTGTATAAGAATGCTTGTGATTTTTGTACATTGATTTTGTATCCTGAGACTTTGCTGAAGTTGCTGATCAGCTTAAGGAGATTTTGGGCTGAGACAATGGGGTTTTCTAGATATACAATCATGTCGTCTGCAAACAGGGAGAATTTGACTTCCTCTTTTCCTAATTGAATACCCTTTATTTCTTTCTCCTGCCTAATTGCCCTGGCCAGAACTTCCAACACTATGTTGAATAGGAGTGGTGAGAGAGGGCATCCCTGTCTTGTGCCAGTTTTCAAAGAACAAAGCTGGAGGCATCACACTACCTGACTTCAAACTCTACTACAAGGCTACAGTAACCAAAACAGCACGGTACTGGTACCAAAACAGAGATATAGATCAATGGAACAGAACACAGCCCTCAGAAATAACGCCGCATACCTACAACTATCTGATCTTTGACAAACCTGAGAAAAACAAGCAATGGGGAAAGGATTCCCTATTTAATAAATGGTGCTGGGAAAACTGGCTAGCCATATGTAGAAAGCTGAAACTGGATCCCTTCCTTACACCTTATACAAAAATCAATTCAAGATGGATTAAAGATTTAAACGTTAGACCTAAAACCATAAAAACCCTAGAAGAAAACCTAGGCTAATATTACCATTCAGGACATAGGCATGGGCAAGGACTTCATGTCCAAAACACCAAAAGCAATGGCAACAAAAGCCAAAATTGACAAATGGGATCTAATTAAACCAAAGAGCTTCTGCACAGCAAAAGAAACTACCATCAGAGTGAACAGGCAACCTACAAAATGGGAGAAAATTTTCGCAACCTACTCATCTGACAAAGGGCTAATATCCAGAATCTACAATGAACTCAAACAAATGTACAAGAAAAAAACAAACAACCCCATCAAAAAGTGGGCGAAGGACATGAACAGAAACTTCTCAAAAGAAGACATTTATGCAGCCAAAAAACACATGAAAAAATGCTCATCATCACTAGCCATCAGAGAAATGCAAATCAAAACCACTATGAGATACCATCTCACACCAGTTAGAATGGCAATCATTAAAAAGTCAGGAAACAACAGGTGCTGGAGAGGATGTGGAGAAGTAGGAACACTTTTACACTGTTGGTGGGACTGTAAACTAGTTCAACCATTGTGGAAGTCAGTGTGGCGATTCCTCAGGGATCTAGAACTAGAAATACCATTTGACCCAGCCATCCCATTACTGGGTATATACCCAAATGACTATAAATCATGCTGCTATAAAGACACATGCACACATATGTTTATTGCGGCATTATTCACAATAGCAAAGACTTGGAACCAACCCAAATGTCCAACAATGATAGACTGGATTAAGAAAATGTGGCACATATACACCATGGAATACTATGCAGCCATAAAAAATGATGAGTTCATGTCCTTTGTAGGGACCTGGATGAAATTGGAAATCATCATTCTCAGTAAACTATTGCAAGAACAAAAAAGCAAACACCGCATATTCTCACTCATAGGTGGGAACTGAACAATGAGATCACATGGACACAGGAAGGGGAACATCACACTCTGGGGACTGTGGTGGGGTGGGGGGAGGGGGGAGGGATAGCATTGGGAGGTATACCTAATGTTGGATGACGAGTTATTGGGTGCAGCGCACCAGCATGGTACATGTATACATATGTAACTAACCTGCACAATGTGCACATGTACCCTAAAACTTAAAGTATAATTAAAAAAAAAATGGGGAAAAAAAAAGAAAGATTTTTTTCTTCATATTGTACTCTCATCTTCATTCAATTGCTTTATTTATTTTCATGGATAGTCAAAGTAGTTCAAAAATTGATATAAGGTTGTGGGGGCGGAAGTTTTTTTAGAATTTAAAGAACAGTGCAGATGAAAGGAGTTTTATTACATATCCTAAATCTTAATTTTTAGCCTGAATCACTTAATAATTACTTTATAATAATCAAATTATTTTATATTTTCTCACTACTCACCAATAGATTCACGGTATGCTTTTTATTATAAACATTTCTGTGTATAATTTAATGCTTGTCAATACTTACAGAAATTCAATGAACTGAAATATTGTCCCTAAAAAGTTGTCAGTATCTGTTTTTCTGGATTGTAAAGTTTATAAATATGATAGCACACAATGGAGCAATACTTAATATTTTGTCAAATAGTTAAAACAAATATATATATACATATTACATGTACATACATACATATGTGTATGAAGTTTTATTTTTAGAGTTAAATTTGTTAAATTAGAAACATAAAATGGAAATATTATTGTATTTAGTAGTAAATCTTTTTATATAGGTGTCAGTGAGTGTTTAAATTCTTCGGAGTTCTCATTAGTAAATTATTTAAATTATTGGTGGCCAGAGTTCCCCAAATATATGGTCTAACAGCTGTTGATTAATAAATTTTCATAATTTATGACACATTGTATGTATATAGAATTATTAATAACTGTTACTTATAATCATACAATATGAAATATTTCCGTGGTTGGAAAATATAGCCTGAAAGTGTGTTTCTGTCCATTTTCAAATTAGTGTGATCATTCATAATTGCTACAAAAAAATAAAATATCTAGAAATACAACTTACAAGGGACGTGAAGAAGGACCTCTTCAAGGAGAACTACAAACCACTGCTCAAGGAATTAAGAGAGGACACAAGCAAATGGAAAAAGAGTCCATGCTCGTGGATAGGATGAATCAATATCATGAAAATGGCCATACTGCCCAAAGTAATTTATAGATTGAATGCAATCACCACCATGCTACCATTGACTTTCTTCACAGAACTAGAAAAAAACTGTTTTAAATTTCATATGGAACCAAAAAAGAGCCTGTATAGCCAAGACAATACTAAGCAAAAAGAACAGCTGGAGGCATCATGCTACCTAACTTCAAACTATACTACAAGGCTACAGTAACCAAAACAGCATGGTACTGGTACCAAAACAGACATATAGACCAATGGGACAGAACAGAGGACTCAGAAATAACACCACACATCTAAAACCATCTCATCTTTGACAAACTTTGACACAAACAAGCAATGAGGAAATGATTCTCTATTTAATAAATGGTGCTGGGGGCCGGGTGCAGTGGCTCACGCCTGTAATCCCAGCACTTTGGGAGGCTGAGATGGGCGGATCATGAGGTCAGGAGATTGAGACCATCCTGGCTAACACGGTGAAACTCCATCTCTACTAAAAATACAAAGAATTAGCTGGGCGTGGTGGCAGGCGCCTGTAGTCCCAGCTACTTGGGAGGCTGAGGCAGGAGAATGGCATGACCCTGGGAGGCAGAGTTTGCAGTGAGCCAAGATCATGCCACTGTACCCCAGCCTGGGCGATAGAGCAAGACTCTGTCTAAAAAATAAATAAATAAATAAATAAATAAATAAATAAATAAATAGTGCTGGGAAAACTGACTAGTCATATGCAGAAAATAGAAACTGGACCCATTCCTTACACCCTATACAAAAATTAACTCAAGATGGATTAAAGACTTAAACATAAAACCTAAAACCATAAAAACCCTAGAAGAAAACCTAGGTAATACCATTCAGGACATAGGCAAGGGCAAAGATTTCATGACTAAAACACCAAAAGCAATTGCGACAAAAGCCAAAATTGACAAATGGCATCTAATTAAACTAAAGAGGTTCTGCACAGCAAAAGAAACTATCATCAGAGCTAATAGGCAGCCTACAGAATGGGCAAAAATGTTTGCAATCTATTCATCTGAGAAAGGTCCAATATCCAGAATCTACAAGTAAAATAAACAAATTTACAAGAAAAAAAAAACAACCTATCAAAAAGTGGGCAAAGGATATGAACAGACATTTATCAAAAGAAGACATTTATGCAGCCAACAAACATGAAAAAAGCTCATTATCATTGGTCATTAGATAAATGCAAATCAAAACCACAGTGAGATAACATCTCATGCCAGTTAGAATGGTGACCATTAAAAAGTCAGGAAACAACAGATGCTGGAGAGGATGTGGAGAAATAGGAACACTTTTACATTGTTGGAGGGAGTGTAAATTAGTTCAACCATTATGGAAGACAGTGTGGCAATTCCTCAAGGATCTAGAACCAGAAATATCATTTGACCCAGCAATCCCATTACTGGGTATGTACCCAAAGGATTATATATCATTCTACTATAAAGACACATGCACACTTATGTTTATTGCTGCACTATTTACAATTGCAAATACTTGGAACCCACCCAAATGCCCATCAATGTTAGACTGGATAAAGAAAATGTGGCACATATACGTCATGGAATACTATGCAGCCATAAAAAAGGATGAGTTCATGTCCTTTGCAGGGACGTGGATGAAGCTGGAAACTATCATCCTCAGCAAATTAACTCAGGAACAGAAAACCAAACACTGCATGTTCTCACTCATGAGTGAGAGTTGAACAATGAGAACACATGGACACAGGGAGGGGAACATCACACACCAGAGCCTGTTGGGGAGTCGGGGGAAAGGGGAGGGAGAGCATTAGGACAAATACCTAAGGCATGTGGGGCTTAAAACCTAGATGACAGGTTGATAGGTGCAGCACACCACTATGGCACATGTATACCTATGTAACTAACCTGCATGTTAAGCACATGTATCCCCAAAGTTAAAGTAAAATAAAAAAAATTATAAAGACAATATGAAAACTTTTGGAACATACTTAAATAATGAGAGTATTTTTTGAGTGCTATGATGTGCCAGGTATTATCTAAAGTCTTTACATAGTTATCTTGATGTCTACTTTATGCAAAATTTTATTCCCAGTTTAGAAATGAAGAAACTGAGACACAGAAAGGTCACACCCTGGTTTCTTCCCTCCTTTTACCCTCTAGACTCCCACTGGTGATTTTATTGGCTGAACTCAGGAGTTAGCTGTCAGGGGTGCCTGAGATATGCAGTAGTCAAAATTCTTCCTCCCAGGCCATAAAATACAAACCCAAAGCAGGGAAGGGAAAAGAGTGGGTCCCAGGGAAAACAGGCCCAGAACTAACAGATAACTACTGTGTAGCAGGTGCAGGTATGTGCTATTTTTTTTCTGATATTTATAAGATTTTGTATGAAATTTTACTTGGTCATTTCTTTGTTTTAAAAATGTTAAGCTCCTGCTAAGTAATTGTGACTGAAATATATATAAAATAAACAGACCAGTAGAAGAAGAGACAAGTTCATAAATAAATAACATATAAAACATAATTCTATAAGGTAAATATGTATAAAATGTATTATAGAAAAATATGAGAAGAGATTTAATTTGGACTGGAGGAATCAGAAGTCTAGAAAAGCTAAGAAAAAGAATGTGACGTGAGCTGGGTTTTGAAAGAAATAGGAAACTAGAACCCAGTTAGGTAGGCATTTAGGCACAGGCTAAACATAAATAAAAGCATGAAAACTACAACGGGAATTGTATATCAGGCACAATGACTTGCCTGTATAGCTGTAGTACAAGGAATATGGAAGAAAGTGGAAAGATAATTGTTCACTGCATGAGCTCAAAGTCATTTATACATTTGAACTGTATTCCTAACCAAACTTAAGGGCTGTTTACTTCCCAGATTTCTGAAGATTGGTTGTATCCATCTTTCTCTTCTCATTGTTTGCACAGACCAGCATAGTGTTAATGCTGTTCTTGGTCTATGTATCATTCCTTCATCATATAAGGACCTTGGAATTACAAAGGAAAAATGCAGTTGGCTTGCCTTCCCCAAAACATCTGTATTTGCTGCTTCCCAAAACATTAATATGCATCATGGTTACTACAAGACTTGCAAAGGTGATGCTGATGTGTCTGTGTCTGGCTTGTTACTGTTTGTACCTTCATTTGCTAGATTTGAAGTCTGGCCAGGGAAATAATGTGGGCAATTGCTCAAGCTATGCTGCTTCAGCTTCCCTTTAATACCTGGTCAAGAGCAGTCTCCAGTGATGCTGGGTACTCTGAACACCTCTGCTGCTTCATGACGAGTAAGGACTCAGAATTTAGACAAGGGTGATTCATACCAGGCCTGAGTAGGTGGCCATCAATGTAATATAAATCTTTTAAAGTAGAAAAGTATTTCCATGCTTATGCTGGTCATGCTGCTCACTCCTTCAGATCCATTCTCTGCTGTTCTCTGTGCTGTAGGAGGTTGATCTCTCTAGGACCTCTTGTTATGGTCTGAATGTGGGTGTCCCCACATCAACATTCACATGCTGAAATCCTAATCCTCAAGGTGATGGTATTAGGAGGTTGGCCTTTGGGAGATGATTAGGTGATGAGGATGCAGCCCTTATGCATGAGATTAATGCCTTCATAAAAGTGACCCCAGAGGGACCCCTCGCCCCTTCTGCTATATGAGGACATGGTGAAAAAGCACTATTTGTGAATGAGGACGGGATCCCTCAGCAGACACCGGATCTACCAGTGCTTTGATCTTGGACGTGCCAGCCTTCAGAACAGTGGGAAATAAATTTGTGTTGTTAATAAGCTACCCAGTCTATGGTATTTTATTACAGCAACCTGAGCAGACAAAGACAGTGCTCCCTTGATCTTTGGACTGCATTTGATTTTTGCCTATGGGAAGCAGTAATAGAAGAAGCCAGGGAAAATGAAGAGTAATTGAGGTATTTCTTACCTCTCTTTCTCCTTCCTAGGCCACAGTGTTTGCAGAGCCTATTTTCCTTTAATTACTGTGAGATAATGAGGCGACCCCCTCATTGCTGACTTCAGCTTTTGTCAGCTTTCAGTAGCACTGTACCTTTCCTTGCCCTGCAGGCCTAGGGATGGTAACAACTCCTCATTGTGACTAGTCCTTGGGTGCTTCACCATTCCTTGTCAGTTTCCATAACCCTGCCTGTACCTCTATAAAATGTCCCTTCATTCAGTGCTCTTAAATTAAATCCTTTGAGTGCATTCTTTGTTTCTCTTCTGCATGCTAGACTACACCATGCAGACTCCTCCTTTTTCAGGACAGTTGGATGGCTCAGATCTCTCAGGAATTTCCCTTAGTCATTTTCCCTCACCAAAGTCCTGTTCACTTTCTGGGCAGCCTGCATTCAGTTACTGATCATTGTGGAGGTATAAAAGGCCTGGTTTGCTTGGACCCTGGCTGGGGCAGCCATGGGGTTCATTGTGACTGTTGTTGAGACTGTGGTTGGCACCAAAACCTAGCATCTCCGCCTGCCAGACCTGCTTCCTGTCCTCACTTCCACAGATGCAGATCCTGAGAGTACTCCCTAATAATTTTCTGGAATGCTTACCTCAGTTTCATAATCTACTTCCCAGAAAGAGCAATTTACAAACACCATTTCTTTAAAAGCACGTGTGCTGGCTGATTGTTATAAAGATTAATTGTCTTCTCTTGTCTATAATTGCCAATACGACCCACAATGGGCATAGTTTTGCTTTTGTGCCTTCTCAGTTCCCTTTCCTGGGATCCTTTATGGTCTTATACTCTTATGCTAATCTGTACTCTTAAAAAATTATCTAAACACACTAATTAAAGCAACCTTAAGTTACCAATTTATGCTTGCTAAATCAGCAAACATTTAAAAATATTATAGCCTCCAGTATTGTTAAAGTTGGTATGGCACAGATACATTTATACAGTGCTAATGGCATTATAAACCAAAATAACTCTTGAGAAAGATTGCATGACATTATATATCATTATGCTATTTGATCTAATAAGTGCTTTCCTGAGAATTTGTTCTTCAACAATTAAAAGGAAGAGCAAATCTACCTGTACAAGTTATCATCTGTTTTGCAAGAAAAGACCACCACTCAATATCTGAAATAAAATACTGAATTTATTAATATTTTAAGCAAGGGAAAGCCTTGCTTGTGAGGCTCAGCCTTTCTGAGCAAAGCATGAAGCTGATTTTATATGGGTTTTTGGCAGTGTGGAGTCCAGAAATTTGAAGTTCTTCTGAGATGTCACTGTTTAGTGATTGGCTGACCCTTAGTTGTAGGAGCATGGTTACCAGTGTGCATCTGTTGCTGACTTTAAAAACGCAATTACTAAACTGAAGCTGTTTCCAACTGGCTGACTTTCAGAATTCTGAGCTGTCACTGACTAGGTTTCAGAAACATGTTTATTGAAGTGAATTGTCATTGATTGATTATGTAAATTTAAACTCAGCTGGGTTGTTACTTATTATAATACCTAGCAAATAACTAGTCTTCTCACAGAAGTGTAAGAACTTTTTTTCTCAACAGCATATTCTCTAATATGAACCTGGATATAATCTCAATGTCTAATATGCAAATGGTTAAGTAATTATGGTGAAGACATAATGGAATATTATGCAGTCAATAACCATTATTAATGTTGCATAGCTGCATAGTAAAAGATTTATAATGTAAGGGTACATTTAAAAAAGATTTTAAATAGAATTTTCTTGTTTATGGCAACTATTTGAAAAATATGTGTGTGTGTGTGTGTGTGTGTGTGTACAGGGATCAATTCATAGAATGATGAATAATGCTTAATGTTTTACATGTTTTTATATTTTATATGTATATATGTGTGTGAACACAAACATGTTTTAAAATAAAGATTAAAAAAGCAATTTAATAATTCAACAGATAACAGGAAGGTTTGAATTTTAGTAGGAGATGTTGAAGACCAATATGCCTTTAAGACACAAATGAACTCATCTCATTAGAGGCCATAAAAGTGGAAGAAGCACTGAACTTGGAATTTATGTCTTCATTTGAATCTTTCCTGCATCACATTATTATTTATCTGACCTTGGGCGAACCATTTGTCCTTTGTGAGCTTCATTTGCCCACCTTTAAAATATGACTAACAATCATATGCTTCATAGGTTAAGAGAATTAGATGAGACTCCTGTTATGAAAATGCTTTGTCTTGGAAATGCGGGCTCTTTTTTGGTTCCATATGAACTTTAAAGTAGTTTTTTCCAATTCTGTGAAGAAAGTCATTGGTAGCTTGATGGGGATGGCATTGAATCTATAAATTACTTTGGGCAGTATGGCCATTTTCACAATATTGATTCTTCCTACCCATGAGCATGGAATGTTCTTCCATTTGTTTGTATCCTCTTTTATTTCGCTGAGCAGTGGTTTATAGTTCTCCTTGAAGAGGTCCCTCACATCCCTTGTAAGTTAGATTCCTAGGTATTTTATTCTCTTTGAAGCAATTGTGAATGGGAGTTCACTCATGATTTGGCTCTCTGTTTGTCTGTTATTGGTGTATAAGAATGCTTGTGATTTTTGTACATTGATTTTGTATCCTGAGACTTTGCTGAAGTTGCTTATCAATTTAAGGAGATTTTGGGCTGAGACAATGGGGTTTTCTAGATATACAATCATGTCATCTGCAAACAGGGAGAATTTGACTTCCTCTTTTCCTAATTGAATACCCTTTATTTCTTTCTCCTGCCTAATTGCCCTGGCCAGAACTTCCAACACTATGTTGAATAGGAGTGGTGAGAGAGGGCATCCCTGTCTTGTGCCAGTTTTCAAAGGGAATGCTTCCAGTTTGTGCCCATTCAGTATGATATTGGCTGTGGGTTTGTCATAAATATCTCTTATTATTTTGAGATACGTCCCATCAATACCTAATTTATTGAGAGTTTTCAGCATGAATGGCCGTTGAATTTTGTCAAAGGCCTTTTCTGCATCTATTGAGATAATCATGTGGTTTTTGTCTTTGGTTCTGTTTATATGCTGGATTACATTTATTGATGTGCGTGTGTTGAACCAGCCTTGCATCCCAGGGATGAAGCCCACTTGATCATGGTGGATAAGCTTTTTGATGTGCTGCTGGATTTGGTTTGCCAGTATTTTATTGAGGATTTTTGCATCAATGTTCATCAAGGATATTGGTCTAAAATTCTCTTTTTTGGTTGTGTCTCTGCCAGGCTTTGGTATCAGGATGATGCTGGCCTCATAAAATGAGTTAGGGAGGATTCCCTCGTTTTCTATTGATTGGAATAGTTTCAGAAGGAATGGTACCAGCTCCTCCTTGTACCTCTGGTAGAATTTGGCTGTGAATCCATCTGGTCTTGGGCTTTTTTTGGTTGGTAGGCTATTAATTATTGCCTCAATTTGAGAGCCTGTTATTGGTCTATTCAGGGATTCAAGTTCTTCCTGGTTTAGTCCTGGGAGGGTGTATGTGTCCAGGAATCCTAAGCCAAAAGAACAAAGCTGGAGGCATCATGCTACCTGACTTCAAACTATACTACAAGGCCATGGTAACCAAAACAGCATGGTACTGGTACCAAAACAGACATATAGACCAATGGAACAGAACAGAGCCCTCAGAAATAATACCACACATCTACAACCATCTGATCTTTGATAAACCTGACAAAAACAAGGAATGGGGAAAGGATTCCCTATTTAATAAATGGTGCTGGGAAAACTGGCTAGCCATATGTAGAAAGCTGAAACTGGATCCCTTCCTTACACCTTATACAAAAATTAATTCAAGATGGATTAAAGACTTGAATGTTAGACCTAAAACCATGAAAACCCTAGAGGAAAACCTAGGCAATACCATTCAGGACATAGGCATGGGCAAGGACTTCATGTCTAAAACACCAAAAGCAATGGCAACAAAGGCCAAAGTTGACAAATGGGATCTAATTAAACTAAGGAGCTTCTGCACAGCAAAAGAAACTACCATCAGAGTGAACAGGCAACCTACAGAATGGGAGAAAAGTTTTGCAATCTACTCATCTAATAAAGGGCTAATATCCAGAATCTACAAATAACTCAAATAAATTTACAAGAAAAAAACAAACAACCCCATCAAAAAGTGGGCAAAGGAGATGAACAGACACTTCTCAAAAGAGGACATTTATGCAGCCAACAGACACATGAAAAAATGCTCATCATCACTGGCCATCAGAGAAATGCAAATCAAAACCACAATGAAATACCATCTCACACCAGTTAGAATGGTGATCATTAAAAAGTCAGGAAACAACAGGTGCTGGAGAGGATGTGAAGAAATAGGAACACTTTTACACTGTTGGTGGGACTGTAAACTAGCTCAACCATTGTGGAAGACAGTGTGGCGATTCCTCAAGTATCTAGAACTAGAAATACCATTTGACCCAGCCATCCCATTACTGGGTATATACCCAAAGGATTATAAATCATGCTGCTATAAAGACACATGCACACGTATGTTTTTTGCAGCACTATTCACAATAGTAAAGACTTGGAACCAACCCAAATTTCCATCAATGATAGACTGGATTAAGAAAATGTGGCACATATACACCATGGAATACTATGAAGCCATAAAAAAGGATGAGTTCACGTCCTTTGTAGGGACATGGATGAAGCCGGAAACGATCATTCTCAGCAAACTATCACAAGAACAAAAAACCAAACACCACATGTTCTCACTCATAGGTTGGAATTGAACAATGAGAACACTTGGACACAGGGCGGGGAACATCACACACTGGGGCCTGTTGTGGGGTGGGGGAAGTGGGGAGGGAAAGCATTAGGAGATATACCTAATGTAAGTGATGAGTTAATGGGTGCAGCACACCAACATGGCACATGTATACATATGTAACAAACCTGCATGTTGTGCACATGTACCCTAAAACTTAACGTATAATAATAATAATAATAATAATAATAATAATAATAATAATAGCATCCCTTGCTGTGTTAAGAATTCTGTAGATCTGTGCTGGCTAATAAGACAGCCACTAGCCATATGTGACTAGTGAGTACCTAAAATTCGGCCAGTTTGAATTGAGGTATGTGCTCTAAGTTGAAGATACATTCTGGATTTCAGAGAGTTAGTATGAAAAAAGGAACATAAAATATCTCATCATTTTTGAATATTAATTACATTTTGAAATGACATTTGTATATATTTAATTAAATAAAATCTATTGTTAAAACAAAAAAATAAATTGCTGAATCTATCCAAAAAAAAAGAAAATGCTTTGTAAACTAGAAAATATTATACAAACTATTATTTTTTCATCTTTCAATTTTCTAATTGTCATAATATTTGTATGTATTTATGGGGTACATGTGGTATTTTGTTATATGCGCTGACTCTAATGATCAAGTCAGAGTATTTGGAGTGTGTATCACCTTGAATATGTATTATTTCTATGTATTAGGAACATTTCAAGTACTTTCTTCTAGCTGTTCTGAAATATACAATACAGTGTTGTTAACTATAGTCACACTATTCTGCTATTGAACATTAGAACTTATTCCTTCTATCTAACTCTATGCCTGTACTCATAACCAACCTCTTTTTATCTCCCTACCCATCTACTTACACACCCTTCTCAGCCTCTGGTATCTATTATTCTACTGTCTACCTACATGAGACCAACTTTTGGTTCTTACATGAGTGAGAATATGTGATATTTGTCTTTCTGTGCCTGGTATATTTCACTTAACATAATGACCTCCATTTCCATCCATGTTGCTGCAAATGACATTATTTCATTTTTATGGCTCAGTAGTATTCTATCATGTACGTATACCACATTTTCTCAATCCATTTGTTTATAGAAGCTTAGGTGGATTCCATATCTTTGCTATTGTGAACAATGCAGCGATAAACATGTAAGTGCAGCATCCCTTTTATACACTTATTTATTTTCCATTGGAGAAATACCTAGTAGTGGGATTGCTAAATTATATTTTTGTTGTATTTTTAGTTGAGAAATCTTCATACTGTTTTTCATAGTGTTTTACTAATTTACATTCCCACCAACAGTGTGTAAGAGTTCACTTTTCTTCACATTCTCACCAGCATCTGCTATTTTTTTTGTTTTAATAGTCGTTCAACTGGGTAAGATTATATCACATTGTGGTTTCGATGTACATTTCCCATTTTTCCCTCCCTCCCTCCTTCCCTCCCTCTCTCCCTCCTTTCCTTTCCTTCCTTCCTTCCTTCCCTCCCTCCCTCCCTTTTTCTTTCTTTCTTTCTTTCTTTCTTTCTTTCTTTCTTTCTTTCTTTCTTTCTTTCTTTCTTTTCTTTCTTTCTTTCCTTCCTTCTTTCTTTCTTTTTCTTTCTCTCTCTCTCTTTCCCTCCCTCCCTCCCTTCCTTCCTTCTTTTCTTTCATTTTCTTTCTCTCTCTCTTTCCCTCCCTCCCTCCCTTCCTTCCTTCCTTCTTTTCTTTCTTTTTCTTTTTCTTCTGTTTTTTTTTTTTTTTTTTTTTTTTACAGGGTCTCACTCTTTCACCCTGGCTGGAGTACAGTGGTGCAATCTTGGCTCACTGCAGCCTCTGCCTCCCAGACTCCAGAGATCTTCCCACCTTAGCCTCCAGAGTAGCCAGGACTACAGGTGCCCACCAGCATATTTGGCTAATTTTTGTATTTTTTGAAGAGATGGGGTTTTGCCATGTTGCCCAGGCTGGTCTCAAACTTCTGATCTCAAGCAATCCACCTGCCTCGGCCTCCCAAAATGCTGGGATTACAGGCATGAGCCACCATGCCCAGCCCAGCACTTATTTTCATATACCTATTTGCCATTTGTCTGTCTTCTTTTGAGAAATGTCAATTTATGTGCTTGCCCATTTTTCAATGAGATTTTTTTTAACTTGTTTGAGTTCCTTCTATATCTGGATATTAGTCTCTTATTAGATGAATAGTTTGCAAATAGATTATTCCAGTCAACAGATTGTCTGTTCACTAAGTTGATTGTTACCTTTGCTGTGAAGACACTTTTAAATTTACTGTAGTCTCATTTGTCTATTTTTGTTTTTGTTGCCCGTGCTTTTGAGGTCTTAGCCATAAAATCTTTTCTAGACCTATGTCCAGAAGTGTTTCTCCTTTGTTTTCTTCTAGCAGTTTTTATAGTTTCAGGTCTTATGTATAAGTCTTTAATCTACCCTGAGTTGATTTTTGTATTTGGTGAGAGTTAGGGGTCTAGTTTCATTCTTCTGCATGTGGCGACCAATTTTCCTAGCACCATTTATTGAAGAGAATGTTCTTTCTCCAATATATATTCTTGCTTCCTTTGTCAAAAATCCTTTGGTTGAAAATACGTGAATTTATTTCTGGGTTTGCTACTTTGTCCCGTGGTGTATGTGTTTGTTTTTATACAAAAACCATGCTGTTTTAGTTATGACAGTCTTGTAATATATTTTGAAGTCAGGTAATGTGGTGCCTCCAGCTTTGTTTCTTTTGCTTAGGATTGCTTTGGCAGTTCAGACTCTTCTTTGTTAACACATGAATTTTAGGATTGTTTTTTCTATTTATGTGAAAAAATGGCATTGCTATTTTGATTGGAATTATATTGAATCTGCAAATTGCTTTGGACAGTATGGTTATTTTGATGATTTATTCTTTTGATTCATGAGCAGGGGATGTCTTTCCATTTGTTTGTGTTATCCTCAATTTCTTTCGTCAGTGTTTTGTAGTTTTCCTTGCAGAGTTCTTTCACTTCCTTGGTTAAATTTATTCCTAAGTATTTAATTTTATTTTTTAGCTGTTACAACTTGTGTTGCCTTCTTGATTTCTTTCTCAACTAGTTTATTATTAATGTATACAAACAATACTGATTTTTGTATATTGATATTATATCATGAAACTTTACTGAATTTATTAATTTATTAGATCTCAGTTTTTTTGTGGAGTCTATAGATTTTTTTCTAGATATTGAATTACACCATCTGCAAAGAAGGGCAATTTGACATTCTCATTTTCAATTTCATTCTTTTGCCTGATGGTTCTGGCTAGGACTTCCAATACTATGTTGAATAGGAGCAGTGAGAGTGGGCATCCTTGTCTTGTTCCAGCTTTTAGAGAGAAGACTTTCAGCTTTCCCCATTCAGTATGACGTTAGCTGTATCTTTGTGGTATATGGCCCTCATTTTGTTGAGGTATGTCTCTTCTATGCCTAATTTCATGAGGGTTTTTATCATGAAGGGATGTTGAATTCTATCACATGCCTTTTCTTTGTCTAGTGACCTAATGAGATGGTTTTGATCCTTCATTCTTTTATGATGTATCACATTTATTGATTTGCATATATTGAATCATCTTTGCATTCCTGGGATAAATCCCACTTGATCATGGTGTATTATCTTTTTGATGTACTGTTGGTTCCAATTTGCTAGTGTTTTGTTGAGGATTTATGTTTCTCTGTTCCTCAAGAATATTGGCCTGTAGTGTTGTTGTTGTTTTCATGTTTTTGTCTAGCCTTATAGAATGAGTAATGGAGAATTTCAAACTATATTATTAAGGTATCAGATTCAATATTAATACTGTAGGTAACTCAAAGCTAATTGCTAAAAAAATAAATAAAATGAAGTTGTAATTTTTTGAAACATAAAATGCTTCATAATATGAAGTATGTTTGGAATTGAAGCCAAGGAAAACACATGCTGCTTCTCAAACTATTTGTCCTTTAATGAGGTGCCAAATAACTCAACATCTGTCTGAGAGTTGGTCATGGCATAAAGGGGGATAACTTTTCTAATATACTATGTGGCTGCTGCTTCATTGGGGAACCTTAGAACAGATGCACTGGCAATGTGGTCTACATTGTACCTTTGCTAACAAGCTTCCTTTGATTTGGAGTCATTGTGTTCAGTAGACATCTTAATGGAAAAGCTACAATTTTGTTCCTATGGAATACATGACTATTGGTATAAACAGTAAATGTAATACACACTTCTTCCTATTGTGAGGTGTCCACTGGCTTCACAGTCCTACCAAAGGTTAAACATACCCCAAAACCGAATCATGCCAAGGCAAGCTCAATAATTTTAAAGTCCAGCTTTTAAAAACTTAAGCAGCTAAGTCACTAATGAAAAAATATCCTATCTGTACCACTGAGATGAGAAATTTAGAACTGCTAGAACTGCTAATCTTATAATTACTAGGAGAATTCTGCAATTTAAAGCTTGACAAATTTTTTTTTTTTTCCTAACTGGCAAAATCTAGCATTATCTTTGCTTATTTTAAAGTTTTAGGTTGATTATTTGACTTAAATGAAATTTAAGATAATTTGCCTTATATTGGTTTTCATTTTCATGGAAAGACCATTTCTATTACATACCATTCATATGTGAGGGTATGTGTGGGTGGCTGAGCACATCAGGTTTCATGTTTATTTTAAATACAGTTAAAATCTAAACTGTTCTTTCCCCTAGAAACTGGGGAATTCTGGAGATTAATCAGTGGATAAACAGACTTTATAGCAGATGAATATATCATTAGTTTCAGTTGAGCTTTGCTTACTGTGGTAACTTGAATATCCAGATGAATTTAATCAATTAACAACTAGACATTGTGACGGATTGAAGTATACATGTTCTTAATCTCAATGTACTTTCACTCTAGCTTTGGAGACAGAATAAACAAGTTAACCAATTAAATAATACCTGTAGTCAGCTGCAATCAGAGTTGTAGGAGGGAGAGAGTCCCACGAGAGTGGTGGGGTTTAAGCTAGTGTCAAAGAATTTGGATACATGGAGGAGAGCAGACAAGCAAAAGAAAGAAGAGTATGCAGGCGTCTAGAGGAGACATAATATAGAATATTTACATATGTTTTGCAAGTGAAGTCTGCAGTTCTATATCCTCAGTTTGAAAACACACACATATACACACACATACACACACAGACACAACTGCAGAATGAACAACAAAGGGACTGAGATGAAACAGCTGCTGTGGTAGTTAGGGGCATTGGTTCTGGGGTGAGACTGCCTGGATTTATGTTCCAACCTTTGTGATTCGCTCTGTGACTTTGAAGAACTCACCTACCTGTACTAAGCCTCAGTTGTTTCATAGGTGAAATGGGAATGACTATAATAGTACCAGATGAAAATGGGAAAATTGAAGGAGAAAAAGTAATTAGAACAATGTCCAGTGTGTGATTAGATGTAAGTAAAACTTATTATCATTTGCCATTTGTGGAAATGTGTTCATAATTTTGTTACCTGTGGTGTATTGCTACAGGACCCTTGAGACCAGAAACTTCTTTTATTTTTAATTAATTAGTTAATTCAGCAATCAGATTTTGAACATTCATTTATAACAAGTGCTAAAGATGAGATAAGTTGTCTAATGACAGGCATCTGCTCTTTGTACATTTTATATGATTAATAGTTGTTGAAATAAGGGAAATAATTATCAGCGGTTGGAAGTATATATTGTCTTAAAGGTTACTTCTTTCTTTGGTAGTTCAACTAGTACTTTTTATAGCCCTTATAAAGTTATGGTATAATTTTTTATATAACTATACTGTATAAATCTTTAGGATCTCATTGGTGTATCATCTTGTGGATGTCTGTCCCAGTAAAGAACTTAGACTATCACATGTAGTCAAGCTCATTGTTACAAAACATGCGCTTCTTATTTTAATTACAGAAGTCTAAGTTTAATAAAAATGTTGAATAGATTCAATTCAATGTAATGAATGTTAGTTATTTCATTTGTTTGATATTTCAGTGCTTTAATGGATTTAATACTAAAATGCTTTTTTATTTAATGAAAAGCATGGCAGAATTTTATTGCAGTGCAAGGTGCACTGTACTAATAGTACTTGACATCTATATAAATTGTTGTGTTGGATTGAATGATTAGTATTAAAAAGAACATAATATTTTTACTTCTCATTGTGAAAAATAAAATCAGTCTTTTAGAGGTCAAATAATTATTCTAGAAGTCATTAATAGAATTGGATACTGCCCGAGATGATCCATGATGTCAGGCCCATGTGATCTGATAATCTCCTTTATACTTGTTCTTTTCTGAAATAAAGCTGATCTATTAATCTCATGTGTTTTTAATTTAAATTCATCAACTTCTGCCTTGATGTAAGAGAAAATCTTATAATAGGATTTCCCCAAATTTTGATTCCTTGCTTTTAGAAACCTAGCAAAGCCATAGATTACAGAATTCTAGAGCTGGAAGAGAAGATATTCCCTTTATTTTATAATCCTCTAATTTTACTGGTGAGGAAACTGAGGCCTGCTGAGTTATCATACTTGCTTAAGACAATAGTCACAAAACCAGACTGAAGCTAATGTTTTCTGTTTCCAGGTATCTATCTACAAACCAGAGACTCATAATATTGATAGTAACTAATTTAAGAGCACACAACTTAAATATTTTGACAGGGCTTACCACAAATGAGTCACTATTTTAATTGAGTGACCTTGTTTAAATAGATCAGGATCTTGTTTTACTGTTAAAGGGAATCACCAAGCAAAACATGCCTCAAAACCTATTTATGCCTTATAGTCTTGAAAGTCATGATGTCTTCAGCTCCCTAATATCAGAACAGTATTTTCTAAAAAGAAAATTGTGAATAACCCTTCACTTAGCTTCTCTCCACTTAAAAGCGTGTCTGCATCTGTACCCACCCTAACCCCAGTCCCTGCTTCTCCCTAGGGATAATTGTCTACCTGTGCTATAGGTCTCTCTTCTTCCACTTCATCAGTTATCCTTTTACCATCAACCACTCCCTGTACATCAGCTCTTTCTTCTAAAAAATAGACTTATTCAAGTAATCTCCTACCCACCCGCCCCCAATAAACAATAACCTTTTATTCATCTTCTGTTGCATTTCTTCTTTGGGCATTACTCCCTTCTCTTTTTTTCTACAGAGATAAATTCCATTAATAAATTATCTACATTTGCTACTTCCATTTTATTAGCTCAAATTCACTACTCAGACAGTATTTTCACAAATTTTCATAAATTAAAAAAGTACCTATTGAAAATAAATAAATAAATAAACATTACCATGAAAGTAAAGCTTGAAAATAAAATTCAATAGAATAATTTTTTATTGTACCCCCTAAAGGAGGAAGAAATGAATTGATGGGTGGTGATTGTGAAAGAGAAGTATCTAGGAGGCATTCTTTGGAAGGAGTATTCTTTCTGCATTGTTTTTTCCCCACCAGTCTTTGGACATTTTAGGGACTCATGGTTATTGTCTACTTAAATTGCTCACAAAGATAAACTCATTAGTGGACTTATTTTTAATTAAAAATGAACATTTCCTAAATTTATATTAAAATGCAAAGATCTTTGACTTGCTGAACAGTTTTTAATAAGAAAAAACAGAGTTGGTGAGCAAAGCACATGAGTAGATATTTCTCAAAAGAAGACTGACTTACAAACAGCCAACAAACATGAAAAAATGCTCAACATCACTAATCATCAGCGAAATGCAAATTAAACCCACAATGAGATACGTTACTCCTGCAAGAAGTACACTTTACTCTTTACTCCTGCAAGAATCGCCATAATTAAAAAAGAAAGAGATGTTGGCATGGATGTGGTGAAAGGGAATACTTTTATACTGCTCGTGGGAATGTAAATTAGTGCAACCACCATGGAAGACAGTATGGAGATTCCTTAAAGAACTAAAAATAAAACTACCATTCAATCCAGCAGTCCCACTACTGGATATCAATCTACCCAAAGGAAAAGTAATCATTATATGAAACATGCACACATGTTTATAACAGGACAATTTTCAGTTGCAAAGATATGGAATCAACCTAAGTACCCACTGAACAGTGACTGTTTAAAGAAATTGTGGTATATATATGTATACCATGGAAGACTACCCATCCATAAGAGGGAATGAAATAATGTGTTTTGCAGCAACTTGGATGGATCTGGAGGCCATTATTCTAAGTGAAGTGACTCAGGAATGGAAGACCAAATATCGTATGTTCTCACTTATAAGTGGGAGCTAAGCTATGAGGACACAAAGGCATAAGAGTGATATAATGGACTTTGGGTACTTGCAGGGGAAGTTTGGGAGGGGGGTACCAGATAAAAGACTACATATTGGGCACAGTGTACACTGCTTGGGTGATGGGCGCACTAAAATCTCAGAAATCACCACTAAAGAACTTATCCATGTAACCAAAAACTACCTGTACCCCAAACAACTGTTGAAATAAAAAAAAAGAAAAAAACAGAGTTAGAGGATTTACACTAAGTGATTTTAAGACAATATTCTATTGGCATAAGGATAGACACTAAGATAGAGAGTCCAGAAATAATTCCATGCCTATACCAGCAAGTAATTTTCTAAGTAACTTAAAGAGGAAAAAGGTAGTATTTTCAACAATTAATGTTGGATGTTATATGGGAAAATTAATTTGTATAATAACTCATGCTATATAAAAAAATTAACTCAAAATGAACATATACATATGAAACTTAAATATATAACTTCTAGAAGGAAATATAGGAACATAATCTATGAAATGATGGGTTGATCAAAGATTTCTTAGAACACAAAATGTCAGACCATATAAAATTAATAAATTGGAAAATTCTAAACCTAAAAACTTTGCTGTTTAAAAGACATTGTGCAGAAAATAAAACGACATGTCTCAGCCTTGAAGGAAATGTTTACAAAGCATATATCTTGTAAATAATTTGTTTTCAAAACATGTAAGCAACTCTTACAAACCAGTAGGGAGAAAAATCACCAAATAAAATTATGGGGGAAAAGTCGAACATCATTTCACAAAAGAAAATATATGAATGGAAGATAAACACATGAAAAGATGCTCAACATTGTTAGTTCTTAGGGAAATGTAAATCAAAAGCATAGTGAGATACTACTATACTCCCACTAGAGTGGGTAAAATGAACAAAAACAGGAACAAAAAACCTGGTAATAGTAAGTTTTGGCAAACGTGCAAAGTGTCTGGAAGTCTCATACACTGCTGCTGGGAATGCAAAGTAGTTTAGCCATGTTGATAATTAACTTGGTAGTTTCTTTTAAAGTTGAATATACATTTACCAAATGACTCAGAAATCGCAGTCTTAGCTACTTACCCAAGACAAATTAAAACATATGTCTTTAAAAATATTGTACTGTACTTGAATGTTCATTGCAACTTTATAAGGTGTGAGGGGATGGAATTTATCACAAAGAGGCAAAATGATGGAAAAATTCTGTGTCTTAGTTTTAACAATGTTAGAGAACTGTATACATTACTCAGCTTAAAGTAGGTGAGTTTCAATACCATTTTTACTTCAGGTATGCTGAGAAAATGATACTTCAGGCTGGGTGCGGTGGCTCACACCTGTAATACCAGCACTTTGGGGGGCCGAAACAGGTGAATCACCTGAGGTCAGGAGTTCAAGATCAGCTTGGCCAACATGGTGAAACCCCATCTCTACTGAAAATATGAAAATTAGCTGTGCATGGTGGCAGGCACCTGTAATCTCAGCTACTCAGGAGGCTGAGGCAGGAGAATCGCTTGAACCCGGGTTGCAGAGGTTGCAGTGAGCTGAGATCACGCCGCTGCACTCTAGCCTGTGTGACAGAGTGAGACACTGTCTCAAAAAAAAAAAAAAAAAAAAAAGACACTTCAACCACAGGATAAATATGGGGTCTACATGAACATTGACCGTGTTTCTCACCACACATAAACATTAATTTTATGTTCTGTCAAATAGTAAAAATATACTATTTACCTTCTTTAAATAAGTGGATGAATGTCTTGTAAAAATTAGGATGGAGATCATTGCCTAATTTCCCATTAGGCATTAAAAATCATGACCAGATAATAATGAAACAGGAGAAGTTACAGATATAAATCCTGGAGAATAAAGGCAATTTTCTCTCTATTCAGTATTACTTAACACAGTATTAGATTTAACATGGTTTACAAATGATAATAATGACAGTTGTTTTATTGTCATCTGGGCAAAGATGAAAAAGAAAATAATAATAATAATAATAATAATAATAATAATAATACTTCAAATTATTTATAGTAATTCCCTAAGAAGTGAATAGGAAGATTTTCTGTAACCTTTGCATTCTATATTTGAAGGATGTTGGTATTTGTTTTAAAAAATGATCTACATTCCATTTTTTATATATGCATGTGTGTGTGTGTATGTGTTACTAGTCTGTTCTCGCACTGCTAATAAAGACATACCTGAGACTGGATAATTTAAAAAAGAAAGAGGTTTAATTGGCTCACAGTTTCACATGGATGGGGAGACCTCACAATCATGATGGAATGCAAATGAGGAGCAAAGTCATGTCTTACATGGCAGCAGGCAAGAGAGCTTGTGTAAGGGAACTCCCCTTTATAAAGCTATCAGATCTCATGAGACTAATTCACTATCACTAGAATAGTGTGGGAAAGACCCACCCCCATGACTCAATTGCCTCCCACTGTGTCCCTCCCATGACATATGGGAATTATGGAGCTACAGTTCAACATGAGATTTGGGTGAGGACATGGCCAAACCATATCAGTGTGTATATACACACACAGTCTGTGTAATGACAGTCTGAGAAACAGAAGTAAGCCCAAAATCTTTCTGTGATCCAGGCAATGTTATTTAGCTTTATGATAAAAGAGAGAAATAGTTATTGGTTCCTATTCACCAACACTGAGGGAGAGTATTATAGACTACATTTGTGGCTGGATAGTAATTTGTCAGTATTTGTTGTTTGCTATAATCATTCATGATTATATATAGTCTGAAAGACTTGGGATAAATGCCATTTAAGAAATTATATTATTTCTTCATCTTATGATTCGTCCTTTTGTGGTGATTGTAATGTTTACCTTGTTAGATTCATCTTGACCTCCTGTCTGGATCCCTGGAGACTGTGAAGCAGTTGTTATATTCTTTTGTAATAAGAAAATTTAGGCATAAATAGCTCAAAAGCAGAGTTATGTAAGGTATTGTTATTTCTATTGTGTTTTTTAAAAGGAAGTGAGGTTGAAAGAGGGCATTTTGTGGTGAAATGAAGAGCATGAGACTTAACTGAAATGGTGGGATTGTGATTCAGCAAAGTATTTAATAAGGACCTACTCACATGCAAGACTTTGCCAGGCATCACTCACTGTTTCATTTAATCCTCAAAATAACCCTGTCAGATATATAGGATGCATTATTTCTATTTTAATAAATAAGAACACAGTTTCAGAAGCGTCAAATAAATTGCTGAATGTTCCACAGTTACTATGGACAGAATTAGAATTTCAACCCAGAGTTTGTCTGAATCCAATTGCAGAGACCTTACCTGTACACAGATATATAATGCATTGGCTTGCATAGAATAAAGTTTATATTGGAGAATCTTCAAATGCCTATCATCAATCCTAGAAATATTAATGCTCCTGTCTTCCTAAAGGCATGCAATACAATTTCAACTTTTCTTTTAGATTTAGGGGTACATGTGCAGGCTTGTTACTTGGGTAATACTGAGGTTTGGAGTATGAATGGTTCCATCTCTCAGGCAATAGGTAGTTTTTCAGCCCTTGACCCCTTTCTTCTTTTCTCTCTCTAGTATTCCCCAGTGTGTATTTTTCCCAATGCTTAGCTCCCACTTGTAAGTGAGAGCGTGTGTATTTGGTTTTCTATTCTTGTGTTAATCTGCTTAGGATAATGGCCTCCAGCTGCACCCAAGTTGTTGCAAAGGACATGATTTTGTTCTTTTTTATGACTGCATAGTATTCCATGCTGTACATATACCACATTTTCTTTATCCAATCTACCATTGATGGGCACACAGGTTGATTTCATAGCTTTGGTATTGTGATTAATGCTATGATTAAAATATGAGTGCATGTGACTTTTTGGGAGAATGATTTATTTTCCTTTGGGTATATGCCCAGTGATGGAATTGCTGGGTCAAAAGGTAGTTCTGTTTTAAGTTCTTTGAGAAATGTCCAAACTGCTTTCCACAGTGGCTGAACTAATTTACATTCCCACCAACAGTGTATATAAGCCTTCCCTTTTCTCTACAATCTTGCAATCATCTGTTACTTTTTGACTTTTAAGTAATAGCTATTCTGGCTGGTGTGAGATAGTATCTCATTGTGATTTTGATTTGCACATCTCTGATGATTAGTGATGTTGAGCATTTATTCATATGCCTTTTGGCCACTTATATGTCTTTTTTGAGAAGTGTCTCTTCATGTCCTTTGCCCATTTTTAATGGGGTCGTTTTTTGCTTGTTGAATTGTTTGTTTCTAAAGATTCTGGATATTATACCTTTGTCAGTGCATACTTTGCAAATATTTTCTTCCATTTTGTGGGGTTTCTGTTTACTCTGTTGATAGGTTTCTTTTCTCTGTGCAGTATTTCTTTAGTTTGATTAGGTCACACTTGTCAAATTTTGGTTTTATTGCAGTTGTTTTTGAGGACTTAGTCATAAATTCTTTGCCAATGCTAATGTCAAGAAGGGTATTTCCCCACCATCATTCTTCACAGCATTGGAAAAAACAATCCTAAAAATCATATGGAACCAAAAAAGAGGCTGCATAGCCAAAGCAAGACTAAGCAAAAATAACAAATCTGGAGGCACCACATTACCTGATTTCAAACTATACTATAAGGCCATAGTCACCAAAACATCATGGTACTCGTATAAAAATAGGCACACAGGCCAATGGAACAGAATAGAGAACCCAGAAATAAACCAAAATACTTACAGACAACTGATCTCTGACAAAGCAAACAAAAACATAAAGTGGAGAAAGGACACCCTTTTCAACAAAGGGTGCTGGGATAATTGGCTAGCCAAATGTAGGAGAATGAAACTGGAACCTCATCTCTCACCTTATACAAAAATCAACTCAAGATGGATTAAGGACTTAAACCTAAGACCTAAAACTATAAAAATTCTAGAAGATAACATTGTAAAAACCCTTCTAGACATTGGCTTAGGCAAGGATTTTATGACCAAGAACTCAAAAGCAAATGCAATAAAAACAAAGATAAATAGCTGGAACTTAATTAAACTAAAGAGTTTTGCATGGCAAAAGGAACAGTCAGCAGAGTAAACAGAAAACCTGCAGAGTGGGAGAAAATCCTCACAATCTATACATCTGTCAGAAGAATAATATCCAGAATCTACAACAAACTCAAACAAATCAGCAAGAAAAAAACAAAAAAATCCCATCAAAAAGTGGGCTAAGGACATGAAGAGACAGTTCTCAAAAGAATATGTACAATTGGCCAACAAACATGTGAAAAAATGCTCAACATCACTATTGATCAGGAAAATGCAAATTAAAACCACAATGTGATACCACTTCACTCCTACAAGAATGGCCATAATAAAAAAAATAAAAAATAAATGGTAGATGTTGGTGTTGATGCAGTGAACGGAGAACACTTCTACACTGCTGGTGGGAATGTAAACTAGTGCAACCACTATGGAAAACAGTGTGGAGATTCCTTAAAGAACTAAAAGTAGAACTACTATTTGCTCCAGCAATCCCACTACTGGGTATCTATCCAGAGGAAAATAAGTCATTATACAAAAAAGATACTTGCACATGCATGTTTATAGCTGCACAATTCGCAATTGCAAAAACGTGGAACCAACCTCAATGCCCATCAATCAACTAGTGGATAAAGAAACGTTACATATGTATATATATATATGTAATTTATATATATAATATATATTATATATATTCCATTTTATATATATATATAATGGAATAGTACTCAGCCATAAAAAGGAATGAATTAATGGCATTTGCAGTGACCTGGACGACATTGGAGACATTATTCTAAGTGAAGTAACTCAGGAATGGAAAACCAAACATCATACGTTCTCACTCATAAGCGGGAGCTAAGCTATGAGGATGCAAAGGCATAAGAATGACACAATGGATTTGGGGACTCAGGGACAAAGGGTGGGAAGGGGGTGAGGGATAAAAGACTACAAATAGGGTGCAGTGTATGCAGCTTGATTTATGGGTGCACCAAAATCTCACAAATCACCACTAAAGAACTTACCCATGTAACCAAACACCACCTGTTCCCCCAATAACGTATGGAAATAAAAAAATAAAAAAGAAGGGTATTTCCTAGATTTTCTTCTAGGATTTTTATAGTTTGAGGTTTAATATTTAAATATTTAATCAACCTTGAGAAAATTTTTGTATGTGATGAAATGTAGGGGTCCAGTTTCATTCTTCTTCCTATGGGTAGCCAGTTACGCCAGCACCACTTATTGAATAGGGAGTCCTTTACCATTGCTTATTTTTGTTGACTTTGTTGAAGATTAGATGGTTGTAGATGTGTGGCTTTATTTCTGGTTTCTCTATTCTGTTCCATTGGTATATGTGTCTGTTTTTGTTTGGGTACCATGTTGTTTTAGTTACTATAGCCTTATAGTATAGTTTGAAGTCAGGAGCTATGATACCTCCAGCTTTGTTCTTGTTTGGGATTGCTTTCACTATCTGGGCTCTTTTTTTAATTTCACACGAATTTTAGAATAGTTTTATTCTAATTCTGTGAAAAATGATGTTAGTTTGACAGGAATAGCACTGAATTTATAGATTGCTTTGGGCATTATGGGCATTTTAATGATAGTGGTTTCTCAAATCTATGAGCATGGAATGTTTCTCCATTTGTTTGTGTCATCTGTGATTTCTTTCAGCAATGTTTTAGAGTTTTCCTTCTAAAGATATTTCACCTCCTTGGTTAGGTGTATTCCTAGGTATGTTACATTTTTGCATGACTATTGTGAATGAGATTACATTCTTGATTTGGCTCTCAGATTGAATGTTATTGGTGTATAGAAATGCTACTAATTTTTGTACACTGATCTTGTATCCTGAAACTTTACTGAAGTCATTTATGAGTTCTAGGAACCTTTTAGTGGAGTCCTTAGGGTTTTCTCTGTATATACTCATATTGTCAGCGAAGATAGACAATTTGACTTTTTTTCCTATTTGGATAACTTTTATTTCTTTCTTTTGCCTGATTGCTCTGGCTAGGACTTCCAGTACAATGTTGAATAAGAGTAGTGAGAGTGGGAATCCTTGTCTTGCTTCTGTTCTTAAGGGGAGTGCTTCCAGCTTTTGCCCATTCAGTATGCTGTTGGCTGTGGGTTTTTCATACATGGCTCTTATTATTTTGAGGGTATGTTTCTTTGATGCCTAATATGTTGAGAGTTTTTTCATGAAGGGATGTTGGATTTTATTTAAAGCTTTTTCTGCATCATTGAAATGATTATATGGTTTTTGTTTTCAATTCTGTTTATGTGATGAATCACATTTATTGATTTGCATATTATGAATTAACCTTGCATCCCAGGAATAAAGCCTACTGGATCATGATGAATTAACTTTCTGATGTGCTTCTGAATTCAGTTTGCTATATTTTGTTGAAGATTTTTGCATATATGTTAATTAGGCATATTTCTGTAGTTTTATTGTTGTGCCTTTGCCAGATTTTGGTATCAGGGTTATGTTGGCTTCATAGAATGAATTAGGGAGAAGTGCTCTTCTTGTACATTTGGTAAAATTTGTCTGTGAGTCCATCTGGCCCAGGGCTTTTTTTGATTGGTAAGTTGTTTTATTATTACTGATTCAATTTCAAAACTTGATATTGGTCTATTCAGAGTTTCAATTTATTTCTGATTCAATTTTGAATTTGATATTGGTCTGTTTGAAGTTTCAATTTCTTTCTGATTCAATCTTGAGAGGTTGTGTGTTTCTTTGTTAATTTAGCTAGTGTTCTATTCATCTTGTTTATCTTTTCAAAGAAACAATTTTTGGTTTCTTTGGATGGATTTATGAGTCTCAGTTTCATTTAGTTCTGCTCTGATTTGAGTTATGTTTTTTCTTCTGATGGCTTTGGGATTAGTATGTTCTTATTTTTCTAGTCCCTCTAGGTGTCATCTTAGATCATTGATTTGAGATCTTTTTAACTTCTTGGTTTAGGTGTTTAGCACTATAAACTTTTAACATTGCTTCTGCTGCATCCCAGAGATTTTGTATGTGTCTCTATTTTCATTTATTTCAAGAAATTTTTTTACTTCTGCCTTAATTTTTTTTATTTACCCAAAAGTTATTCAGGAGCAAGTTGTTTAATTTCCATGTCATTGTGTGGTTTTGAGAGATCTTCATGGTATTGACTTTTATTTTTATTCCAATGTGGACTGAGAGTATGGTGGGTATGATCTTGATTTTCTTGAACTTATTGAGACTTAATTTATGGATGAGTCTGTGGTTGATCTTAGAGTAGCATGCAATGTTTTAACACTTTCTTATATTGATTATGTGTTATTGAAGCCATATCAGAAATGTATGCAACAAATAATTGTTTTGCCAATAGAAATGGAAGATTAGAAGGATCAAATGACTTGTTAATGATTTCATAGTCACTAATTGAGCTCTTATTGGTAGCTAAGTATCAGTGATAAGAAGTTTTGTTTATGAATCAACTACTTTCCTTCATCTTCCTGATAAAATTCCACTTACCTTACAAAAGCACAGTTCAGATTTACTTTCTTGATGAAGCCTTCCCTGGTCCTCCTAGGCAGACTTACATAACTTTCCTCTAAGTTATTGTCACACCTTGTAAAGCATCTCTGTCATATAACTGATTGTATCAGTTGTGCATTACGATTGTGATGATACTCTACTTAGATTCAACAGTCCTTGAGGACAGAAGTCATACTGTTTCATCTATGATTCCTCAATGCCTATACAGTACACAGCCCTCAGTAATGCTCAATAAATTGTTGTTGGATACATGAATGAATAAATGCCCAAGTACATGACTATATGAATTCATAAATAAGATTTTGGTGGGTGCAGAAGTATATTTTTTGGTTTTAGAATGCTTTCCAATATATAAATAAGCTTTTGCTGAAACAAAACCAAAACTAAACAAAACAACCCTTTAATTTAGAGTCTGCAGATATAGGCACTGTAGTGGAACAAACTGTGGACCAAAAGCCAAGTTATGCAACCAACTAGGTGAATGACAGGTCAGCTTTTATGGATCTCTATATTTTATCTGTAAAATAAGGGAATCATGGTATGGCAAACATTACAAAGGTGGTATTTTAATAAGTAAAAGTTGAAAATCACTGCTCTAAGACATTTTATGGAAGTGGGTATAATAAGCACTACTGTAGTGGTTTTCAAGCTTTTCTTTTTAAGTGGCAGAACTTCTTGTCAAGTAAAATCTTACACAGAGTTCCAGAATGTAAAATAGTTAAAAATTAGATGTTGTAGCTGCTAAGTCTCTTTGTCCTCTAATATTTGTTCCTTCTGGCCTCTCATTTCCTGCATATCAAATGTATTAGGTGCTTGTCAAATTTCATGGATGAGTCCATTCTTAGGGCAAAGCTTAATTTCTCATCTTTAAAAATAAATATAGCCTGGGCAATATGGCGAAACCCATCTCTACAAAATATGCACACACACATGCACACACACACACACACACACACACTAGCCAGGTGTGGGAGTGTGCATCTGTAGTCCCTGCTCATTTGAGAGGCTGATGTCGGAGAATCTGTTGAGCCCACGAGGTTGAGGCTGCAGTGAGCCATGGTCGTGCCTGGGCAATAGAGCAAGAGCCTGTCTCAAAATAATTTTTAAAAAATTTAAAAAAACAAAAATAAATAAGGAAATGATAGTTTCTAAATATGAAGACACTTAAAGACCAATAAAAATGTATTTCTATGTTCCTTTATGTTCTATCAAAACAATATTATGTGGCATTCTAGTATTACCACATGAGTTTCAGCCTTCTGCTTTTGAAATTGTTTCTGTTTACATGCTTATTTTTCGTATGTCCACATAGACCTGAATCCCCTGACATTTTAATAGAGCTGGGACAGACAGGCCCAAATTGGATGTTGCTTCTAGGTAGGGAATCACTGGCAGACTTCATATCCAATTATATTTCAGTTAAGCCAGTAAATATTAGGCCATTAATTCATTTGAAGTCCTGGAAAGATTTCTCACATTTTTGTTATCTTCCTCTTATGAAGTCTGTAATGATGTAGTATTTATATTTCTGAGAAAGGAATGCACAGAAATTTTGTGTGCTTGCTTGCTTAAAACAAGAATGAACTATTGCCCTTTGTTGTTTCAGTGGTCTTCCCAAGAAAGGAAAAAAAGTTACTTGATGAAGAGTGTCTGGGGTCTTTGAGTCTACATAGAAGACTTACACCAAATTACTGTCTGTGTCCCATATACCCCATGAAACATGTTTGAACAGCACTGTACAGGTGGACAATTTTTTGAAGTCTAGAGACATAGCACTTGTGAATGAATGTCATGAGTCTTCTGTATTAACTTAAAAAAAATTTAGTATTGGATCAAAGTCTAATTTAGAAGAAAAAATACTTGGTGAATTCTTGTTGAAACATAAGATAAAACAGAGACAAATTATTATGCTTTTTAAGTTATGTTTTAGATATACAGTTTTATACACACAATTTACGTTTTCCAATTTAATGTAAATTCCTATGAGATTACATGAAAGAGTAGCTGTTCATAGGCTCCATATGTTCTGCCAACTGCATATCTCTCCTTTATGTTTCATCATTAAAAAAATCTTCTGATTCCTTTCTTGTTCTGAAATACTACTTTTATTCCCAATTATCCTGTTTCTTGGCCCTGACCCATCCTATTTGCTGCTTGTTCTCTGATAAACAATGCTTATTTGCTGCTTCCAAGTGGCAGCAGACGTAATGGTTAATTTCATGAGCTCTGCAGGCATAGTGCCTGGGTGTGAATCCTGTCTCTCTGCCTTTTCCTAGATTAGTGAGCTTAGATGAGTCATTCACCCTTTCTGGGCCTCAGAATTCTCCCCTGCAAAATGGAGATAAAAATAGTTGTGAGAATTACATGAGATGATAGATTTAGGGACTATAGAATAGTGCCTGCCATAAAGTTATTCATATCTCTGTCAGAAGAGTAGGAATATGTATCCTGTCAATATAGCTGACATTTGCAGTTTACCAGGCATTCTGATTCTATTTCCTGCCCCCTCCTATCTGCTGCTTTTGGATTATCACACTTTCAGGGAATCTAGCAAGAGGCCTCAAGCCTATCTAGTCTACTCATTCAAACATTTTCCAGCAAATATTTATTGCTTGGCACAAGAGATATAGTGGTTGGCAGTATTCTCTATGAGCTTCTGGGAGGCATAAACCTATTCATTCATACAAACAAATATGTAATTGTGAAAAATACTGTGAATAGAAAAATAATGTGATAATACCTTCTTACAGGTAGGGGAAGTCCATAAAGGCTTTTCTGAACAAATGACATCAAAGCTGAAGGCTGAAGAATGGGTTAGCCCGGCAAAGTTGAAGACATGTTATAGTGTAGGAAAAGTTTGGAGACAAGAAGGGCATGCTGGATACACTCTACATCCAGTCGAACTAAAGCTAAATGAGTTACAGGGGAGAGTGATGTGGCATAAGCATAAGGTGGGGAAGCAAGTGGAAGCAAAAATAGGAAGTTGAGGTTTAAAAGTCAAGCAGGGACCAGATCTGTAGGGACTTGTATGATTAATCTTCATATTAAGGGTTTTGCTTTATCCTAAAAATTACAGAAAGCATGAAGAATGCAAAGCTGGGGATTAATATAAGGAATTTTGCATTTTTAAAAGATCACACTGGAGAATAGAGAGAGGGGGAGTGGAAGGGCTTCTCTCTTTGTTTCTTAGTTACAATACCTGGAAAAGGACAGTAGCCTCCTCAATGAAGCTTTCCTTGATAACATTTTGCCCATAGAGGTGGCTTCACTCATTTTTTCACCTAATGAACCCATGATCTGTTGCACTTCTCACACTGCACTGTGAACCTGACCCAGGCCAAGGTGTTCAGTATTGTAGGATGAATAAGCGTTGATTCTCCTCTCCTAAGATGAGACAGGGGCATTTTAAGGCCAAGGACTATGTATATTCGTCTTTGTATTATCCACGGCATCTAGCAAGTCCCTACCACATGTTGGGCTCTCAATCTTTTGTTGATGTTGTTGTTGAGAAATCAGATGAAAAGAAGTGGTTTTTCATGATGGATGGAAATGGGGGTTTTGGATCATGGATGCAATTTAATTTTTTATACTCTCATTGAAAGTTGGTAATATTAATTGAAATCCTAGAGTGGCTGTTTGATAAATACCTTTGAGGGTAGCATTAGAAGATCTAAATTTGAGCATGAGCAGATGCCCAGCAAATATTAAATGAATTGAATGTGTTTCAGCCATACTTGCCTATTACATCTGTTTGTAGATCTTCTGTGGTTTATTTTAGGAGACGGAAAAAATTCTCTAATCCATCCTAAACCTCCACTAATGCCATCTTCACTTTGGCACAGTGATAACTCAGAGATGAAAACTCTCAGGTGTGGAGAGAGCTTGCAATACCAGGTTATTAATAGATTTGAATACAGGGATTTTTTTGTTCTTTTCCTTTTGTTTAAGATGAAACAAAAAATGGCTGAAATGAAAGTGATTTATATGCCTCTTTATGGTATTTTAAACCATAAGAGATTAATCAGTGATTACTTTTTTTTAGACTAGGAAAAATAATTCAACTCTTTAAAACTTACCCACTTAGTATATACTGCAGGGAAATTCACTAACAAATTCATTGAGGCATTATTTACACAAGCAGAAACATGGGGTTAGTTTGTCACTTTCTCTCTGTTGTGTTATTGTTGAACATTAGCATTCAGCTCAGCAAATTGAATATTAAGAATTCTTTCTTTTTTTGTCACCATGTGTATTGATTTCAAATGCATGCCCTATTAGTAATTTACAAAGAATGTATTTTATAGTAGAAATTGGTTTAAGTGGTTGTTCAGGAGACATGTTTTACTCAAAGCAGCATTTAGCCTGGCTACTTTGCCTTTTGATGATTATTTAAAAGGATGCCATTATGTCTTTGTTACTTATTGTTCTCTCAGGATAAGCTAATGGTTTAAGTTCATATTAATCCCTAGCACTTTTCAGTTTTTATCTCAAAAGTCATTGATACTTATTACTTAATTGAAAAAACTGATTCTTCTCTCCAAGCAATGTTTGTGTCTAAATATTGAGCAACTTTACAAATAAAATGACCTTTCTTATTACATATACTTTTTTCCCCTCAAATTTACTTGCTCTTTATTTTTTGCATCATACAACTTCAAAAATTTTGGGGAGGAAGCACATTTGCCTCTGTTTATCTCCATCATATTAAAATAAGAAAGCAGCAATAACTGAGTGCAGTAGTCCTGAATTTCTGAAAGTGTGAAGAGAGCAGTAGATGCAAATTAAGGGGGAAAGTCTAATATTTTATGTATCAAATTCTGATATGTTTATCTAATTGTTGAGTCTTTAGAGTTGTTTTTTATAGTTTGTGTTTATTTCTGCTAGTTTTCTGGAATTTCATTAGTTTCATAAAGTTTACGGATGATTATACTCCAATCCCTTTATTTGACAATTGAGGAAACCGAAGTCCCAGAGCTAAGTGGATAACTAGAGCTAGGTGGATGTCGGGGCTGGGAGTGGAGACAGCAGTTCAGGCTCTGCTTTATCCGGCATGTCTTCCTTCAGTTCATAGTACAGTACATGCTAGCACAAACCAGAAAACCTTCTTTTTCTTGAACTAAACCTTGATGTTAGTTTTAAAAGTCAAGATCCCATGGTCTAGTTTTGAGGTTCTTAGACGTTTATACTTTATGAATTGATAAAATTTCCAAAGAATTAGGAGACTTACGTAGAATTGCCAATTTTTAGTTTTCTCAGTTCAGAACATTAAGAAACAAAGCAAAAATACACCAATGCCTCATTATATTATTGTCATTTCATAAATGGACATTTTCTCATCTAAAAGGAGATGAGTAGGACTTTTCCTGTTAAGCTAGAAAGGGCAACTGTAACCCAAAACAGTGAACTAAAAGCCATCAAACTATTTCACGTTCTGTAAGGATAGACATACACAAGGGTGGTCTCGTACCTCGCTCTGAGGCAGAGGCAGCCAGATGGGTTCTGATTCTAATCCTCATCCTGGCAACCTCTGAACTCTCATATACATAGACTCTAGGTGGGGAGAGGAGGTGTTGGAGAAGTGCGTTATTGGCCTACTGAAAATGAAGAACCATTTCTAGAGACAAGTGCCTTCAACAAAGGACAGGTTAACTTCTGTATCCCTTAGGCTCCAGTTAGGAAAACAAAAGGATTTAATACAAGCAATTTGTCAATTCTCCTGGAAGAATAAAGAGGGTCTCCTCTCTCCAAGTCTCTTCTAGTCTCCTACCAGTGATTTCCATTGTCAGCACCTAAAGGAAGCCACCTAGAAAGAGAATCTGTTAAATATAGTTTGCGATGTAGTCTGCAATGTAGTTTGATTCACATAGCAGAATTTAGAATGATTGGCTTGGGGCTGAAAGACATTGGTAAATAACTGACAGTATCTCTTCTCTCCATTGATCACTTATGGAGAAGGATTTTGTGCTTTTTTGAGAAGGAGAAAGAGAAGTGGAGAGATATAGCAAGGAACAGAGAAGAAATAGCAGCAAAGCAGCCTATACATTTAGGTGTATCTATACATTTAGTATACATACATTTAGTGATATATATATTTAGTGTGACAAGGATGCTTGAGCTTATTCTGGATCAAGTGGACATTGCAGCTTGAGCCATCATGTCATTATTCCAATCAAGAGAGTAGACTATCGGGCAAGGGGACCTTACCAACAGGAGTTTCAATGTGTGCCAGTGGGGGTGGAACTGAAGTTACTTCTCCCCAGTGTGAAAGCTCCTACTGCCCCGTTACAGGAAGGGCCTCATCTCAACACCTTCCTTAGAGAAGGCGTCAAAGTAAGTCTGATTTTACCAGAGAAGCAGAGACACTCAAAAAGGACTGCAATTAAATGCTTAGTTAAGTAAGAAGACTTTTCCCTCTTGTCATTAGTTCTTCTACTCTGCCACAATATAGAAAGAGTTAGAACCTGAAGATAAAAATAGAGAGGAAGAATAAAAGAGTAGTACATTCTTTCTTCCCACTCCAAGTCCCAGACACTGGCCACTGAATTAAAACAGTTATACGATGGGAGTTATGGAAGCAATCTGAACTGTTGTTAAGGAGGAGAGAATAGATTTGATATTGCATATGGAAAACAGTTATTGGAGAAAAATGAAGACTAGTTCATATCTGTGCTCTACTGAGTTCAGAATGTTCAATAAATCAGTTACATAAGAAATAGAATGAAAGCTTTTTGAACATCATCTGCAAAATAAAAGATATTTTTTAAATTGGAAAAAAAGTAGTATTTTTAAACTCAAAATATTACTTTTGTTTTTCTCATTTCTGCATGGTTTTGTCTAGCATGTGTCCATGATATAGAATTTTAAAATAATTATCACTATTCACTGAAATTCCTTTTAGCCAGGTATCACTAGTACTGATAACTCTAACCTGTGAAAGGTGAAATTCACACATTAACACAGAAGTCAGGGTCCTTTTCCTCATTTTAGCCTTTAAATATCTGTGGAGAAAGGGGAAAGAGGAAAAGGTGCAATTATATAAAGAATATTCTAGTGTGAATAAAACAGAACGTTATGAAGGACTAATATAAATTTAAAAGCATCTTTTAAGTGGTGAAATATAAAACCACAGGGAAAACTATTAAACATATATCAGAAATGGAATCTGTCATCACATTTGTCACCTTGGAAATTTTTAGAAAGACTTTGTTTTAATGAAGCATATGGTGTTTTGCTTATTCAGAAGCAAATTTTATAAGGGACAGTAATCTCAGATTAAGAGAACCTGATCTGTCCTCTCACTTACAACATTTGCCTTAAATATGAGGCATTTAAAAACTTTAGTATCTTTTAATATCACTCCTTTTTGTCCTTACGCTAGTAGGGAGCATGGCTCCAGGAAACTGATCACCTTAACTTGTATTACCAATATCAGAAAAAAAAGATATAAAGACCATTTCACCTAGTTTCACCTTGAAAAGATGTAAATAAGACCCAATCAGTGGTACAGTGATAGGTTAATAGTCTTGGTTTTAGAACAAGAATGTTCTGGTCTTAACCAGTAGAGTGCATGCCTTTGGGCAGGCTTCATTACTGTTCCCAAGAAATGATTCCCTCACTTGTCTTGATAATTGTGCCTAGCTCATTTGGTTGGTTGCTTTTATGACATAATTGAAATCATGTACGTAGAGTGCTTAAAAATGGCTGAAGGTAAATCCTCCATCTCTGTTAGCCTAAACAAAAGGCAGCAGAGGTTCCTGAAAAGAATCTCCATTGTCATCTGTGAGTGAGGACACAAAACTATTTTTGCCTTACAAAAACAAATTGAGATAATGCTTGCCGACCTTTTCTCAAAGTATCAAAACCAATCTAGATCTCCAAGTAGGTTCTACTCATTTATTCTTTCAATACTTATTTATTGAGACTTGCTTGTGTCAGTCACTGTGCTAGGAACTGAGGGGAGATATTTAACAATTACCTTCTGACTATTGTAAAGTTTTGGAAGCAAGTCTGTATTAGTCAGGATCCTAGTAGGAAATAGATTGTTCTCTTAAAGAAGCTGAAAGAGAGTTTAATGGAGGTACTATTTACAAAGGGTATGGGCAGGGTTGAGGATAAACAAAAAGGGCTATGAAATACCAGGAGGCTAGCAACAATGGGAAGCTGCTTCCGGTTCTACAGCTAAATAGGGAGGCCTGCAGGATCTGTGACCTCAAGTAGAACGTTTTAGCCATGGCTACACTATGGCCAGCAGAGAGGGTCCCCTCTTTCCTCCTGCCTTCTGATCTTTTGCAACTGCCTCCATTGGCTGAACATACCCAGGAGCCAGAGGGCTAGACAGTACCTGAGAACCAGCCTCCCAGGGCACAGACCAGAATGGAGAAGGGCCAAGAGTGGGTCTGAAGGGGCAGATGAGGAATATCCAGAAAACAATCAATCTATATTTCTTGCTTTTTTTTTGTCTTATATAACATATATTGACTTTTTTCCCTAAATATAAAATAATGTATTTTTATTGTAGAACATTTGGAAAACTGCCTTGTAATTTGTGATCCTGCTTTTTCCGAGTCAGGACATGTGTCCGATTGAAGGCACATGAATTTATATAGTAAGTTATCATACTCAAAGGATCATAAAACAAATTTATTTCCATGGCTAAGACCTTACAAAAATACTCTTGCTTGTAAAAAGACCTACTGATGTTACCCTGGACCATTTTGTCTCTCTGCCTGTTGTAAGCTTCCTCATCATGGCATCTTTCTACATGTATTGCACTCTTGGCATTCCTTTTTATATTTTTGAACATCATATTGTTCTACATTTTCTCCACTAAAGAAATTCAACTCACTTAGAAAACCTTCTATAACCCTTATTCCATTATTATCATTCTTCCATTATCATCATTTCACATAGCATCTTTAATATTTTTTATATGCTCACAACTTTACAGTTATAATCATTGAGTATGTATAGTTTTATATCCTGCGTTTAAAACACATTTAAATCTTGCTTTTCTTAAATTTAGGAGTCTGAACTTTTTTTTTTTCAGGTTTAACCCTAACTATAGAGGCCCTCAATATTGACTATAACCCTGATAAAATATCTCTTGTTGCTTGTCTACTTTTGCTGGGTTTCAAGCAGCCTTTGAGTAAAAGTATTAAAATTCTGCCTGCTGCTGTTTGGTCAGCATTAGAGGGGCATCGTAGTTCTAATCATTCTTTGGTGTATGCCGAGGAAATTCTTGTCCTTTGCATATTGAATCAAATACCTGAAAAGCCCATGGGGTTCTCTCCCTAGAGCACTTATAAAGGCAAAGTTTCTCCCTTCCCCCATTCTCTTATCTACTTTGTCAGTTTCACTGCCAACTCCTGCATAATGTAGTCAAATTATGTGTTAGAAATTCAACCCTGGTTTCCTGGGTGATGGTACAATGCCACTGCTTAGTATTCCTAGTCACATAGCTACAATTTCATCATGCTGTTAATCTATATATATCTTCATGCTAGAGAAGCAGACTTTTTTTTAAATAAGGCATGCATTAAGGGTTAAATGGACACAGTGAAAAAAATATGTAGGAGTCCTTGAGCTCAGCAACAATACAGGATATTTTTGGTACTAAGACCTTGTGAAACCATTATATGGACTAATACTTCTTGGATTTTGTATTTTTTATAGTACATCTTTTTTCAGTTAAATTCTGCAAACACCGAATTCTTTGTATTGTCTTGTAGTCTGTTGTATGACAACTTTATATTTTAAAAATTTTATTTTAGACTTAGTGGGTACATGTGCAGGTTTGTTACATGGATATATTGAGTAACGCTGAGATTTGGGCTTCCAGTGAACCCATCAACCCAAATAGTGAAGACAGTGCCCAATAGATACTATTTCACCTTTTACCCCCCTCCCACTCTCTTCCCTTTGAGTCTTCATAAACCAGTAACTGCTTTGCCTTTGGTTTCCACAATCAGAGTGCACCCTTAAATTCTGGTAGTGTTATAGAGGTTCTTTGTTTCTGCAATGACTTCCAGTGATCTACACAAAGCCAATGTCATGAACTACAGCATCTCTATCTCAAAATAGCTAGATTTGTGTGACTTAAACCAGGAAATTCAAGCTCTAACTACCGGTTGCTAGAATTTTCTGTGATAAGTAATTGCCTACTAGTTTATGCAATAGACATATGAGAGATTTAAACTGGTGGTAAAAATTAAGATTAAGGTTTTTTTCTTTCATGTATATATATTCTGTATTGGTTTACTTTTCTTCACTTTTTTTTTGACAGTATAAAGCAGTCATATTCTTTAAATTCTGAACTCGTCATATTTTAGCTGTGTTACCTTGGCCAAATAATTTGTTCTCTCTGTTCCTTTGTAGAAAAAGTGATGAAAATAATCTAACAAACTGTTGCAAGCATCAAATAAAATATTTTATGGGAATATACTTTGTAAACTATAAAACATTTGTGTAAAATGCATGTTATTTTTAGATTCTTCATGATCATTATTTGGGAGCCTAATTGTTACTCATTATTCTTACTATCTTTTCCCAAATAGCTTTGTACCAATTTCTTGGATTTTTGTATTAATATTTTGTGAAGCTCTTTTCTCAGCATATCAAACTTAATTGGCTTGGGAAATTATGATGTTTGCTTTTACATGTACATTGTACATATTTCAAATGTTAATTTAGAGAGTATGCCACATATTTTTCTTTAAGGATACAGAGCTGTTCTTTTTTGTGTGTTTTTTTCTCCTGTAGGTATTAAAAAGTGTCAGCAAACTGCATTGAATAACAGACATCCTAAGAGGGGATATTTTCCACCTCTATAATGAAGAAAAGCAGGAGTGTGATGACGGTGATGGCTGATGATGTAAGTTTCAAAAGGTCCCAATCATGTTTGGTCTGTTCAATAAAGAAGTCACTGGATAATTCTATTCAAAGGGCAGCTGGGGGCATTTAACACACCACTCTGTGACTAGGTGTTTCTATGACATGGGCACAGCCAGCACCTGGACCTGACGTTCTGTGAGTTGGACAGCAGGAACAATGCCCTCTTTGCATCTTGGAAATGGGCTGAGTTTCACTTTTATGGTTTTCAATCACAGAACCACCAATCTCTAGTCTATGCCCAGATCCTCACTCTCAGATAATTCCTCTTTCCACACTGCTTGCATTATCATCAGTTCTCTGATAACTTTCTTCCACACTTTTACCCATGTACAGCTAACCCTTGAAAGTCACTTCCTGTGGTGGGGTTTTTGACAACTACTCCTAAGAAGCTTGTGATACACACATCCCCTAGGCCTTTGCTACTGAAGTGTAGTCCTTGGACTAGCAGTATTAGCATTACCTGGGTGTTTATTGAGAATGCAGAATCTCAGGCCACACCTCAGACCTACAAATCAGACTATATTTTAATGGGATAGCAGAGTAAATAGGTATGTACTTTGTTTGAAAGCCCCGATCTAAATCATCTGAAGAAATCTGTAAACTATCTTCTATAGCTTTGGATCTTGGTCCTTAATTATCTCTTTGCTTTCAATTGACCAATCCTTCATTAGTGTGTCTTTAATTGTCTCATCTTTACCCAATTACTGTTTGTAATTGAACTAAAAATTATGTGCCGCTGATCAGATATGTGAAAGGAAAGAAGGGAGGGAAGAAGAAAAAACAATTTTCCTTGTTTTCTGTAATAATCCATCTTGTTAAGCTCCTGTTTCACAGATGCTCACCCTATGGGCCCTGTGGTCCCTTTGCCTCATACCGTAGCAAAGCCTTTGGCAAGAATGCTAGAACTAATTCTCAGCTTCCTTCTGTGTTCCTGTAGGACCCACAGTGCAGAGGGAGAGTTAGGTGTGCTATTTAGATTTTTCCTTCCCAAATACACTCCTTTTCCATTGCCATTTCTATTTTTTGTGTCAAAGAATCTAGTTAATGTGTTCTGTTCTGTCACTTGTGGCAGCATTTACTTCTTCTTCTTCTTCTTTTTTTTTTTTCTTTCTTCCTCTCTCCTGGACCAGAAGGGCATTTCCTTAAGTTATAGTCTAAGTTCTCAGTACCAGCGTTGCTCAGGATACCTAAAAGAAAACTTCTGGAATTTAGAAAACTTTTTTTCTTAAAAAAAAAAAAAAAGGCTTGTGATTGTCCCTTAATACTATTTGTATACTGTGTGCGCCAATATTTTGTTTTTTGGAAGAATAAAACTGAGCAATGCCTTCCATACGGACAAACCATTAGTTCTTTCTCATTGCATCCTTAGAATAATAATCCTGATCCTCCCTGAGGGAATGGTGGGCATAGTCAAAAGAAGAGGAAGGTTGCCTGCAAGAAGCATGCAATGGATATGAACATTAACCCCACCATATTGAATAAATATTACCTAGATTTACTCTGTCCACTGTGGTAGCCACCAGCCACATGTGACTATTAAGTATTAGTCTAAATGGAAATGTGCTGTAAGCATGAAATACATCTTGGATTTTGAATATACAGTGCAATACAAAGCATTTCATTAATAATTTTTGATAATATTACATGTTGCAATGGTTATATTTTGCATATGCAAGCCTAAGTAAAATATGTTATTAAACTAAATTTTACCTGTTTCTTTTTACTTTTTAAATGTATCTACTAGAAAATTTAACATTACACTTTTGGTTCTCATTTGCATTTCTAATCACAGAAATTATATGTGCAAATATATTAGGAGATTGTTTCAAAGAAGGGAAAATAGTAAGAGCGATAAAAATTATTCCAACAAACTACTCTTGTAATTGATGGTGACTGCCTACAATGAAATCAGTTTTTGAAGAAAAAATTACTTTTATTATTGTCTCATGGAGTATCATGACATTTAGCTTCAATAGGGACTCTGACTGTCATTTGCTGCTTTCCATAATTTCCATTTCTGATTTCATAAGACTTAAAAAATTATGTCCTGTGGTCCAAATTGAATGTGTACCGAAGCACAGTAGGAGACCTTAAAAATACCTTATTCCATTTTCTCACTATGAGTTTAACCAAAAGAATTCAAAAAGTAGAGAATGCTTCAAAAATGACTGAAATAGACAAAACAAAAGACAAGTAACAACAGCAACAAAACCTTGACTACTTAAGCACCAGCATTTCTCATCTGGACATTTCAATGGTCCTAACTTGGTTGGTTTCGATATGGGGATATGACAAACAGCTCAGTCCTTTGGTGTCCCCTCCCCCTCCTCTCTGTAAACTTCTACTTAGGTGCAGGATTTTACACTACCTTTTCCTTTGTGACAAGCTTTTCAAATTTTATTGGCAAGAATACTGACTTTTAAACAAACAGTTATTCAGAAACAGAAGGATAATCCAAAACTACGTTGTTTCCTTAGGGATTTTTCATATTACCAGGGAATTTTGGAAACCATGATACATTTTAAAAGTTGTGATTTCCAGAGGTAACATTCAAATTAATGTTCCTTTCTGCAAAATATTTGAAAATTTAGGAAAGGAAGTTCAAGATCACAAATCAGTAATTGAGAATTGACTAAATTAAATTTTACTTTGAGGTTTTTAGTAATTTTAGAGTAGTGGTGTATAAATTATGGGTATGAATTACAGAGTGTGAAGTAATTATGAATAAATCTGCATGAGTTAATTAGTGTTTGTAAAACAATATTAAGTTTTCATCTTGAATTTAATTTCTGAAAAGCTATTCCATTATGTTCTTACTTTGTGGCAATGCATTTAATATTAACTGAGGTCTTCTGGAACAAATCTTTTTAACTTAAAGAATATTTCAAATTTGAAAATTTGAGCTTGTTTGCAAATTAGTGTGGGAAATATTTTGTGATAGGTGTGACTTTTTTATTTTTCAAATAACAAGTGCCAAATAGTACCCATTTAGGTCACTTACTACAATTAAACCTGGATGGTAATAGTTCTTTTTTCTAAAGAAGAAAAATATCTAATAATCATATTAGGAGGTTAGGGTGGTTGGCGGTTTAGCTACATGATAGATATCCTTATTTCTGTTCTTTGGTAAGGTGTGTCTTACATAAGAGATAAAGTATATATTCAAGACTTTGCTTTCCAGATAACCAGTGCTTTCTTTACATGCATATTTGGAACTAGACTGATTTACCATTATGATTTCCTTTAGTTTATTCTTAAATCTCTTCAGGAAGATTTTATATATTTTGTCTCCTAAAGAAGTTTGTAAGTCTTTTAAAAAATAAACATATATATTAGTTTTTCCCTTTAGCCTCTAATTTACACACATAGACACACACACACATGCACACACACATACACACACAACATACAGTAAGTGCTAGGCCTACAATGGATTTGATATAATAACTAGTTACTAGACAGTGAAACACTGATACATTCCAGAATGTTTCAAACTCTGGAAAATTTTAAATTGTTTTGTCTTCTTCCTGATACTGAACTATGATTCTACTGAATTTCAAATAAATAGTATTTTAAAATTATAAGTCAAGCACAAGAAAATATAATGGTGTCTCATTTTCTGGTATGGAGGGTGGGGCTCCTGAAAATTCTCAAGCCTGTTCTTGCCTAGATTTCTATCATCGAAGTATAGTCTTGCATGCATCAGATAAGTATAAATCACTAGATTATATGTTCTATGAGAAAAGATACCATTCCTCTTTTTGCTATTGTATCCTTAAATAGCACAGTGCAAAATAATAATAGATGTGTGTCAAATATTTGTTGAATTAACCCAGCTAGATCCTCAAACTTGAGTTAATTATCCTTATATGAACTAGGATAGGGGCCGTGGGGTAGAGGAGCGGAGGGTAAAGAACTTTGTTTAAACTTTAGGAGGTCTAGTCTCAGGTTCTCCTAACTCGAGTCTGAAGAGCTAGTAGGAAATACCTGTCTTTAGTGTCACAGAGTAATTTTCAGGTGAGAGACTGTAGCCTGATGCTAGGACTTCCGTTATTCCCTGCTAGCTAAGTGTGAACAGTGAAAATTGTAACTTTG